>NC_000013.11:74620227-74771742 GCF_000001405.40 Homo sapiens
TCCCTGCTTTGCAGTCTCTTTCTTGCCTGGTCTTGGATGAAATCCTAGGCTAGTCCTAAAGCTTTTCTAGGTACCTTACATTTTATTTTATTTCTGTTAGCCCAATCTCCCAACAAAATTGTTCTCAACCAGATTATAGCTTCCCTTTTCCCCCAAGCTAAACTTGGCTCAGAATGGGAACACTCCGGTGGGGAAAGGGTTTACACTACCCTTCTTTGTGATTTCCTCAGGCAGCTCTTCTCACTGTGCAACCTCTTGCCCCTCCTCTGTTGGAGAGGTGGAGAGGGAGGAGAGGTAAGGTTCAGAAAGCTCTTGAATTTCCAGTTGGAATCTGACACTCATGCCTTCTAGGAGTGTCAGATGCTCAATCGTTCCCTTGTCTGGCTGGGTACAGGGCAATCTGAGGGCTCTTCAGTAATCCCTAGTGGGAATCTTCCCCCGCCGCTTTATGATAGGTTGATGTCTCCTATGCTGACTGCCTACAACTCTCCATATGGTTCTGGACTCCTTCAGTCCATCCCTGCGAAGTCTGCATCATTCTTTGAAGCAGTCCTCATGGTCAAAGTCCCTCTGAAATGAGCCAAGTTCCCCACCTTTCTAGTCGGTTGAGATCTGGCCCACAGGAAATATAAGCTTTCTTGCTTTGGCCACACTCTGGGAGGTGTAGGCTACTCTGAGTGCAGCACTGTCTCTAAGCTGTGGAGCCCCAGGCTCCTCCAGTTGGCTTCTTTTAGACTGGTGTCACTATCACCCAGTGTGTAGGTGAAAGAGATAATACAATGCTCTGGCAATAGTCTCTGTAAAGAAATCCTCTTTACCAGCACACCTCCACCAGTTATGTCCCCATTTATATCCTGGAAGTAACAATGGTCTATGATATACCAGACTGGATTTCGTGTCACCCCTTAGCAAATTGTGCATATATGTTTATGCACCACTCTTAAAAATGTGTGAGCAGTTAACAAACACCAATTATCTTAATTTTAGGGCTTCATCTGACACAAAGGCTAGGATAGGATAACTCCAATTTGAACATCCCGTTTCATTGGCATATAAAAATCTACTAGGGGAAAAGAAAATCCACCAGGATTCTCTCAGCAAAACTTAGACAGGAGTATAGATATCAATTATGTTCTTTGCATATACAGTAATTGACACAGTTTGGATGTTTGTACCCTCCAAATCTCATTTAGAGATGCAATTCCCAGTGTTGGAGGTGAGGCCTGGTGGGAGGTGTTTGGGTTATGGGGGCAGATCCCTCATGAATGGCTTGATGCCCTCCCCATAGTAATGAGTTCACCTAAGATCTGATTATTTAAAAAGGAGCCTGGCACATCTCTTTCTCTCTCTTGCTCCCTCTTTCACTATGTGAAGTGCCTGCTCCCCTTTGCCTTCTGCCGTGAGTAAAAACTTCCTGAGGCCTGGCAAAAACCAAGCAGATGCAGGCGCTATGCATCTTGATAATCCTTTGTAAAGTATCCAGCCTCATGTATTCATTTACAGCAATGCAAACAGAGTAACACAGTAATTTAATGAATTGAGTTTCTATTTTTAAAACACTGTTTTTGTATTATTTTTCATTTCTTGTACTTTCTGTTGAATTATAAGTTCTTTGTGGGCATGCTGAAGAGATATAATCAATGAAAGAGTTGGAGAAGGTAGTTTACATGGTAAGAACCTTTCCCTATGGCACCTTCTCAATTCTAATGCCACACTTGCAGAGTCAGTAGGGTAAGGTCTCTTTCCTGGTTTCAATTTTCCTTAGCTCTATTTTCTAATGTCTAGAAGTATGAAGAATACTTCTATGAACACGTAATATCTCTTTTAAATTGATATTCTTTAAAAGATTTATAGTAAAAATACCAGTGTAAACTAAAGACTTCACAGGCTCCTTTTAAAACCAAAACCTCAAAGTTTAATTGTTAGCTATAAAAAAATGACTTCAATCTCTTTTCATTTGCATTATAAAACTTGAACTTAATAAACCACCAGTGGTATAAATACATTAGAAGCTAGGTTGCCAATTAACATCTTTTTGGCTGTGCAGAGATAACCAAGCATAAAAAAAGTTAAACAAATTTGACTTTAATGTAATTATGTTGGAGACTAATTTAATCAGATATTTATCAGATTTCCCCATGGATCCTCTGAAGCAGCAGCATTAATATTGTTTTCCTAAATATTCAGCACAGCCAACCCTTCCATGGAAATTAGCAAAGGGGTGGGGGTGGCTCTTGCAAAGCATTTGAACTTCATTTCTCCTGCATATTCTCACCCTCTGCAAGCATAAACCCTTTTCTGGCAATGGTGCTATTTGAATTAAGTGCACAGGCTGTTGATGCCACGTTGACCAGCTAGTGTTGAGAATACACTACAATAATTGCCTGTCTGATCATTCAGAGAATCCCCTAATGATCCTAGTGAGATTAGGAAAATGGGAATGTAATGGCAGGTGTGTCCAAGGGTGTCAGAAATATGTCATCAAGTTAAGAAGAACCCTTAGCAATACAGGTGGAAAGCTTTGCTTCAATTGTTCTCCCATTTACATTGCCTTTTCAGCCCATTAGTGTGGTTCCGAATAGTTTTCCTCACTTAAAAATGTGAACAAGATTGCTTAAACCATACAAATTTCTGATCACTTTGTTTCTTAGCATCTCATGTGTTAGCACTCACACAGAGAGGACAAGTTTACAATGAAAGAGAGGGAAATAGAAGAAAATCTTGACACTTTGACTAAACAATTTATGTCATGGTGCTGATTTTCACCTACTATCAAGATCATTCAAGTCTCTGAAATTTAGTGCTAAATCATCATTTGAATAATTTTAACTTCAGCTCCAACTGCTGTGGATTCTAAGCTGTATAGAATAGAGCCTTCTGTTGAGCAAGATTTTATTCACTTTTTGAAACATTTCCTAAATATATTATAGATCATCTCATCTTTTTTATTTGCATGAAGATTTCAGATAAAAACATGACAAATGCTGCTGTTGAGTTTATTGTTACAGTTGCAAATACGCTAAGTTGTTAACGGGGTATGGAGATGAATGACGTTGGCTTCTCATTCATTTGTGCTGTAATATAAAAGACAAAGCAAGAACTTGCCTTGCCTTTGCCTTTCTAAAAATCAACTGAGGGAAGAAATGTGGGGAGAAAGATGGTGACTCTGGTAATATCCAGTGGTCACATTTTAAAAATTTGAATATTAGGTGTTAGTCCGCTTTTGCAGATTATTTCAAAACACTTGCTCAGTAAAGAAAATGGCTTTTAATGTGCTTGAGCTTCTTAATACAGATCAAGGTGTGCTACTGAGTGGGAAAAACAGGATAGGAAAGTGTAAGAAACATGGATTCAGTGGCTGAAAATGGCTTCTCAGTTATCTCTCATGATATCATTGGCCATCTCCTGGCCCATAGCCATTGATTACCATTTCATATGCTGCTTGTGAATGCACAGTTATTGAGAAAATAGTGTGCTATGTGACCAATTCTTACGCTTTTAGGGGAAAAGAGAAACTGTAAATTATTACACAAAGACATAAATATTTTTGTGAGAAACAGAAATAGATGAAATAGACTTTAGTACCATTTTTTTCTGGTTTACAAGATGCCTCAAATGTATTTTTTTCTGAATGGTGTTTTGAATATATACTTATTACATCTGTCTGTTACACAACAGTTCTCAGGAAGTTCAAGAAAATCCTAGGACACCCAAGTTAGGCAACAGTAAAAAAAAAAAAACCAACAGCGTATTTTTCTACTTTCTCCAAGCCACCTCCTTTGGAAAAAATGTCTTTCTCACTTCCTCTGCCCCTTATTCCCACTTTCCTATGGAATAGCAGCTGTGTTTAGCTTTATGAATTTCAGTAAGATAAAACAGATGTTGCAGAGACATCTGTTAATAATAATAATAATAATAATAATAATGCAAGGAATAACCTACATAGGATTTCTGTTGTCTACAATCAGTTCTAATTTTTTACCATTTATAATTCAAAGATGCCAAGTAAAAATTAAAGGTAAATTCCAAACAAGCTGGGCTGCTTACGTCCTGCCAATGGTAATAGAAACACTTTTGGTTTCATTGAGAGAAGGTGGATATGAAAGACTAATATACATATATTCTATATCTGTTCATAAAGCCAGTAATTGAGTCAGCAAGTAGGTAGGTTCATGGATGAACAGAAGACGTTTATATTTAAACCTAACGCTCCTTGAAAGGTGAGCTAAAGATGACGTTGTTGGGGTTTAAGAAGTTGGCCTGCAAGCAATTCTCCTTCTTGCTAATGAGGTGTAAATGTGTACCTAACTAGCTAACTCCTTGTCCACTGTCTTAAAATAAAGAGCCTTTAGGACAAGCTCAACCATTTCTATTTGCAGCTGTGTTACAAAAGAAAGGAAAGAAACTCATATTTTATGAATCCTAGTATGTACCAAGCATTAAATTAACACAGTATCTATTTTATGTCACTAAATTGTTACTTAACTCTGTGCAAGAATAAACTGATTTGGAGAGGTCTGCTATAACAAAAGAGCTATAACAAAAAGATTGAGTAATTTATAAATAATAGAAATTTATTTCTAACAGTTCTGAAGCCTAGGAAGTTCAAGATCCAGGTGTCGACCAATTCCATGTCTAGGGAAGGCTCACTTTCTGCTTCATAGATGGTACTTCTTGCCGTGTCCTCACTCACACTGCAGAAAAGGCAAATGCTGTGCTCTCACGTTGGGGGAAGGGCAAACAGCTCCCTTGTACCTCTTTTATAAGGTCACTGATCCCATTCATGCCCTCAGGACTTAATCATCTATTGAAAGGTCCCACCTCTTAATATTATCACATTGGTGATTAAGTTTCAACATGTGAATTTTGGGAAGGGACATTCAGACCACAGCAGAGGGTTTCAGAAACCTGCCCCATTAACTGGCAAAAAGCCAGGTTAACTAATTCCTAATCTTCCTCCCCACTTTATTGGAGGAGCGGTTGTACCATAATACCTTTCAAAGAATCGCCATATAGAAGATCTGCCATAGCTTGTTATTTGCAAGTTATATTCAGGAATGTCTGCATTAATCCAGGCTGGCATATTTTTTATTATTTCTATGTAGATTTGAGGGGTTCAGATATTTATGGAAATACTCCAATGTTCCATGTTAGCTTTTTTTTTAAAGAAATAGTAATTACATTCATGCGTTTTGCTGTTTTACTTTACTATTCATATACTTTTCTGAAAACCTTGAAATACACAAATTCATTCAAAAAAGTATTTTAAAGGACTTGGCATACACAGAAATTGTAAAACTTGTCCTATATGTGGTTATATTTAGGTTTGACATGATTATATTCTGAGAAATCTAAAATGAATTCAAATAATTTCCCAACCCAGCATTTTTCTGAGCTTATACATTTTCCAAATATATAAAAGATGATGCTACATATCTAGGATAACTTATAGTACCAATATACTACTATATGTTTATAGTAATGAATGCACGAGCTTACATTAAGAAAATTCTTATCTTACATACAAATCAGAAAACTAGGAGTCAGACTGATCCAACATACTCACAGCTGTAAAGTACATATGTTTTGGCTTATGAGCCTCTCATCAAATGTTTCTCAGTCCAGATGCTCAGTGACTGCAACATTCTTTTATACTCTGCATCCACTGAGAACTACTGCCCACCAGAAACAGAGAGGGTCTAGGTAGGCTCAGACTCCAGGTAGACCAGGGATACTGTTGAGGTTCTTATCAGTACCAAATGTGTTACCCATTCTGTACTGTTTTTTTTTTTGTTTTGTTTTGTTTTTTTCTGAGACAGAGTCTTGCTCTGTTGCCCAGGCTGGAGTGTAGTGGTGCTATCTCAGCTCACTGCAACCTCCACTTCCAGGGTCCAAGCAATTCTCCTGCCTCAGCCTCCCGAGTAGCTAGGACTACAGGTGCACAACACCACACCCGGTTTATTTTTGTATTTTTAGTCTAGAAGGTGTTTCTCCACATTGACCAGGCTGGTCTTGAACTACTGACCTCAAGTGATTCTCCCACCTCAGCCTCCCAAAGTGCTGGGATTACAGGCCTGGCTTGAGCCACTATGCCTGGCACCAGTCAGTACTTATTAAAAAGTTCATTTTCATTTGAAAAAAGGAAAATGTCTTCAATACCTTATAAATTGATAACTATTAATTCAGTCTAAATTTCTACATAATGCATGGGAGCATATCAACATATACTTCATATTCATATTAGAAGAATAATATCTTATATAGTTATAGGTTAACAAGTTCACTTTCTTCCAGAAAATAGATGGAAATGACCTATAGAACTCATCTGTCCTTTCTTTCTTACTTGAAGAGAGATCATGGTTTAAAATCTCTACACTCTGCTTTGATTTGTTTCTCCCACTGTGGCTCCCTTGCTTCGAAACTGCTTTTGAATTTCCACTCCCAACACCATCCTCCACTTCTTGAGGTCTTAACAATTATTTGGGGCCCAGTTTAAAGCCAACTTCTCATTACAACCACCCCAAATCGGCCGGGCGCGGTGGCTCACGCCTGTAATCCCAGCACTTTGGGAGGCCGAGGCGGGCGCATCACGAGGTCAGGAGATCGAGACCATCCTGGCTAACACGGTGAAACCCCGTCTCTACTAAAAATACAAAAAATTAGCCGGGCGTGGTGATGGGCGCCCGTAGTCCCAGCTACTCCGGAGGCTGAGGCAGGAGAATGGAGTGAACCCGGGAGGCGGAGCTTGCAGTGAGCCTAGATCGCGCCACTGCACTCCAGCCTGGGCGACAGAGCGAGACTCCGTCTCAAAAAACAAACAAACAAACAAACAAAAAACCCAAATCTTAGCCCTGCAAAAAAACACACAAATACTGTTCTTCCCTCCCATAGCATTTTTACACTAATCTTATAGAATTTACCATTTTGCCTCATGTTATAGTCCTTTTTGTGCAAATTTATCTCCTTCACTAGAATCAAGTTTCTTGGGGATGGGATTTTGACTGGTCCATCATTCTATTCCCATGTATAGTACATTTGCATGAAGAGTATGTTATACATAGCATTTAAGTTGTTTTGTTGTTTTGCTTTGTTTTAAAAAATTAAGCCCAACCAGAATATGGACAACCATGCAAGAGGTTTCCACAATAATTACCAGGAAATCAGAGCCTCTATTTCCCACTGCAGCCACAGCTTTTCCTTTCTTTTTCTAATCCTCCACCTGCACAGTGAACAGTGGTCACCACAGGTTCTCACCTCATCACAACTAACTGAATCTTTGCTGGATTTCATGGAACAAATGGTTAAGAGACATCCTGTGCAAAGGTGGGGAAACTCATGATTTTACTTGATATGAGGATAAGGAGAGAGGGGTCACAGCAAATTTATTAGTAGAAACAGGGTCTACTGGCACATCAGAAAGGCTTGTGTGAAGGAGGTGTCACAAAAACCCTGTAGTAATATAAGAGACTTTAACTTCTATAGTCCATCTTTGGTTTGAACAAACTCTCTAGGATTTAGTTGTAAATATCCCTTCTATTATTCTCTGACTTGATATACTTCATTCTATTGTCAATATGTGGGAAATAAAAACAATCCACTTCAGTAATATCTTCCTTAAGCAATGTATGAAAAATGCGTTAAGCATGTTAGGTGCTTGAGGCACTTATTTAAAGGTTGGTGAAGTCTGAGTAAACTGTAGTGAATGTAGAACATTCACTTAGGTTCTGGCTCGCTGGAGTTATCTCATAAATACACTGTGGATATTTAATGAATAACTGAAGTTAACCATACTTTCAAAATGAAAACATAAAAAATAATCTGTCTGTAATTTTTGTTTAGTTCTAGAAACTACGTATGACCATTTAAACTCTTCTTCCGGAATAACTATCCAGAGTTCTAAAAGTTATATATATTCCCAACCACTTGACAAAAATAAATGTGGGGATTTCTCAACTTCTAAGTTAAAACTATTGTAAGCAAAGGATTTATTTTAAATATTTATCCACCCTATTAAAGTTTTTGCACCAAAATCAATTCAGATAAAATCATGATTTTTACCAGGTTTAATTAAAGTCATGGTCTTATATGTGATGTATGGGTCATTTCCAGTTTGCAAATTCGCTTGTTTCTGGAATGAATATTAGGGCGAGACGGAGTCATCCTAAACATAATGGCTGTAAGTAAACTCCTTCTTTATAAGTAAATCATTAGACTAAGTTAATATCTTGTCCCTGTAAGTTCTAAATAGTATCTTTGAAAATCGGATACTATTTCCTTGGCCTCTATGTTAATGATATGTAGTTCATTTTGGCTGGCTGAGAGCTGTAGGGTCCATTTGAGATATGCCTCCAAGGTAAGAATTTCAACAGTATTTGTATCTTTTTCTCTAGCCTTATGCAGTTGTGGAGGCAGAATGGAGGGGGAAGAATAGAGAGGGTGAACAGTTATATTTAACCAGAGATAGAGATTTCTACAGGTATATTTTTTTCTGAAATTCTAGTACGTTCAATTCAACTTACATATATTGAGCACCTGTTACGTGCAAGGCTCAGTCTTAAATGCCATGGGGGAAACATGGGAGTCATCATTAAAGATGGCAATAATCTAGTGATGAAGATGTACATGAATAAGTTCCCTGCCTCTGAAGTGAGATCCGTGCTCAGGAGAGATATACACAAAGTGTGGGGTGGATGAGAGGAACATCCTAGGTAATAACTTTAAGAAAGGGACACTTGTGTTTGACTTTGAAGGGTGGCAAAATTTTGACAGGCAGACCTGGGAGGAACAGGCTTCTTCACAGATGGAAAAGTGGGGGAAAATGCTTAGAAACATAACAGTACATGTTGGGTTGTATAAGGAAAGAGGTATGGTAGGCCAAAAAATTGAATTTATGGAGTTATGGAGAGGGTATAACCATAAAACAGTAGTGTTTGAATTGTGTACTGTGGGAAATGGAAGGAAAACGGGTGGGAAGGAGTAATGTTCTTTTGTTTTGATTTTCCACATAAATCTTTTATGTAATAAGATTAAGAATAAATAAACATGTTTTAGAAGGGTTATTCTAACAACAATAAATCTTATAGTTTAGTAATAGAGACTTGGAAGTAGAGCGACCAGTTAGGATGCCATTTCAGTTTTCTAAGTGAGAGCCTTAAGGTGACAGCAATGAGAATTCAAAGGAGGAAATCAATATGAAAGACACTGTGAGGACAGAATTAAGAGCACTTAGCCACAGATATGGTTTGGCTGTGTCCCCACCCAAATCCCACCTTGAATTTTAGCTCCCATAATCCCTATGTGTCATGGGAGAGACCTGGTGGGAGGTACTTAAGTCATGGGGGCAGGTTTCCTATGCTGTTCTCATGATAGTGAATAAGTCTCATGAGATCTGATGGTTTTATAACCATCAGGTAATCTGTTACCCTGCACATGTTCTCTTGCCTGCTGCCATGTGAAGAAGGACATGTTTGCTTCTCCTTCCACCATGACTGTAAGTTTCCTGAGTCCTCCCCAGTGATGTGGAACTGTGAGTCAATTAAATCTCTTTCCTTTATGAATTACCTAGTCTCGGGTACATCTTTATTAGCAACATGAGACTGGACTAATACAGCCACCAAATGAGCATGAAGACTGGGAGGGAGAGAGTAAGGAGACCCAGATGTTTCTGAGGGGGAAGTTTCTGAAGAGAATTCCAAGATGAGGACTTAAGAGAATTGCACGCATAGGGGCTATGATTGTCAGAATTTGCCACCTCTGGGCTGGCACTTGGGACTGGAGTGGGAAAGGAAGATTGACATTTGAGGCAATGACATTGTAAAAAACTAGGGGATTACGCAGAAAGTCTGGGTACAAAATTGAAGTGCAGAGTGCTAAGGTGCCAGATGAAAGTGCCAAATTCAGAGTATGAAGTCAGAAATCTAGGTCCCAGGAGAAAGAGCAAGTATGCATGAGCCAAGAACAGGAGGGCAGCGGTTCTGGGAATGTTGCCACTGACTCCCAACTGGCCAGGGTGAACATGGCCGGGCTTAAAGAACCAAAATAGGAGAATAACTTTTGCATCTTATGAGGGAGCTTGAGGTGCACATATAGACAAACTGCTTGAAACTGGATTTGGAATTCAGGGGAAAGAAGGACACTAAAAGTGGAGACAGTCTGAATTCATCTTCATAAAGGTGGAATTAATGGCATGAGAAAGATTATGTCACTGAAAGGAAAAATGTAGAAAGGGAAAATGATCTATGTTGCATATTGGTGAAATGGGTTCCAGTAAAAGTGGAGTAGAGAAAGAGTACCAGGCTGGTGGGTATACATTTTTCAGTCAAAAAACACCATTTTTGTAAAAAATAAAAACAAAAAAATTACTTTTCCATACTTAATAGATGTCTCAAACTTCCATTTTTTTCTGAAACCTTACTCTGGCTAACACATTCCAGTTTTTTTTCAGTCATTTCATGTTTAATATTCAGTTAATTCATCTTTCTCCCTGCTTATGCCAGACCCTGTGATATGGTTTGGCTGTGTCCCCACCCAAATCTTGTCTTGAATTGTAACTCCCATAATTCCCACGTGTTGTGAGAGGGACCCGGTGGCGGATAATTGAATCATGGGAGCAGTTTCCCCCATACTGTTCTCATGTTAGTGAACAAGTCTCATGAGATCTGATCTGCTTTCATTTGGCTCTCATTCTGAGACATTATTCTGCTGACATATAAGATATGCATTTCACCTTCCACCATGATTGTGAGGCCTCCCCAGCCATGTGGAACTGAGTCCATTAAACCTTTTTTTCTTATAAATTGCCCAGTCTCAGGTATGTCTTTATCAGCACCATAAAAATGGACTAATACACCCTGGGAGCCATCTTAGTCCCTGAAGGCTCACATGGTGCCATGGCATTAGTGGGGAGGGAGCTTTTAGTGCTTGGTTGTCAGAGTGGGCCGAGCTGTAACTCTTACTCCCTGATTCTTGTGCACCTCAGGTAGGGTTTACCCATCTGCCGATGTAGGATATGGTGGACTTTCATTCTTTATGGGATGTCTGAACTCCTTTTACCTGGTAGTAGTGACCAGCATATCACTACTACCTCTTCCAACCCTCTTTCAACTAACTTCTTCTGTCTTCTAGAAAGCAGATATCTCTAGTGTTGAGGGATAATCTTTGAGGTTGCCTTAGGCTCCCTCTGAGAAACAACACTCAAAACAGCCACTTATATTCTTGCCATATTTGCACAGCAAACTTATTTAGGCTACAGACATATAGGTATCAGACAAGAAGAACAGAAATCTATGCTACTCAAGAATTGTCCCATGCTTCTCTGAGGATGCCCATTTGCTTACCAATTACTGTAACAGTTGCTCATATAAACTACTAACTGGAATCGAAGATGGTGAAGAGTGTGAATAAATTTTGAAAGACTTTCACTGACCAAAACTTTTAATTGAATGCGACTTAAAATGGACATATATTTATAGAAGCTCTCATTCTGAGCATTGGAATATGATGGACTTCAAATCCTTCAATCAACTTTATGCATAAAAAGCGAATTTGTTTAGTCAGTTGATGAAAGCCGTGAGTTTCATGATGTCTTATTTTTAGACCCTGATGTGTGTGCCTGGAGCCCTCTGTGAGAATTCCTCAAATCTTACGTGGCAGCAGGAGTTTTGGGGTTGCCCAGCTGCATAGGGGTTTTAGCTGTTCCTTAGATAAACTTTCAGAAAATCATCCTGTTTTCAATCCTACCCAACAGGTGCTTCCAATTTCTGCTTGTTTCTAGGATCCTGGGATGAAAATTGGCTTTCACTGTAGGAAGTTACGCTTCAATATTGCTGCTCTGATAATAGTTGCCATTTAACTATTTGCTTTCATCTTTCAAAATGTGTTAACTCTTCTCGTCCATTTTCATCTCTTCTCCTTTTATCACTGCTCTTGTTATAAAAATTTTATATCTTTAAATCTTCTTTATTCTTTTAATTTTATAATAGTGGAATTTCAGGATGTAGCAGAGAAAAACAAATATATCTTATCTAACATATTCCACTGAATTCCTTCTATAGCATTTCTAAGTCCCTGAGAAACTATGATGCTGAGTTAAGTATGATTCAAGGTCATTAAAGCCATTTAATACTGTAGCTAATGAGCAAAATGTAAGATAGACATTGGGCTCAATAAAGGCAAACAATCATAGCTATCATTTATTGAGCCAGACTCTGTTTTAATCTCTTTATATTTTAAATAATTTAATCCTCACATCCATATAAGGTATGTTCTATTTTAAAGATGAAGAAATTGAGACAGAGAGGTTCAGTAAATTAGAGATCTCATAGCCTCTAAATGGTAGAGGTGGAATTCAACCCCAAGCTGCTGTATATCTGAAATAGAAACATACTAGTATCTTCTTTGGGGACAGGGATTTGGGGTTAGGATTTGGCCCAAGTAGAAGCCAGATTGTTATCTTTTCTTTCTCCACTTAAATTCTACCTCTATTTTTAAGCCGTTATTATGCAAGGCCATTATATAGTCCATTAAGCCTAGGCTACAAGATTGTAGAACTCCAGGAAAGACATTCAGAGTAGTCTAGGCTTATCTCTCTTAATCATGGATTAGTAGAAAGAGACCTGCCTTGGAAGCGATGATCTTGTATGGGGTAAATCACTACACCATTCCGGGAGTTGGTGTTCATATCTGTGAATTGAGGAAATTATATTAAATGATAATATTAACAGTTCAGATTTATTAAGCTCTGTTTTATGCTAAGAACTTAATACATACATATGTGTTTTTATCATTTAATTGTTTTTTAGCCTGGAGATGACAAGCTAAGTTTTTCAGCTTGGAGATGACAAGCTAAGTTGATAAGTAAACAAGTATCAACTTGTTTCATCACTCTCTTTTTTAGGACACAGATCCCAATTTCCTAAGTTCAAAGCCATCTTTATTCTTTTAAGGACCTGTACGTCTTTCATATTTGTATTCTAACAATGTTTCCAAGTTCAATTTTATCTCAATTTTATTAAGTCCTCCCTATTTTATTTATCCAGACCATACTGATAACTCTCCTTTCTTAATTAAAACATATATACAAGATGCAATGTATCAGTGATTAAATACAGGGTTATATTCATCTTCTTTTGTATGTTTGCTTTGTTTCAACAAAGAAAGTATAGGCTTGTGGAAAATAAATACAATATGTTGGTCTTACTTTGAAAAAGTCTTTGTGATGGTTAATTGTATGTGTCAACCTGACTGGGCCAAGGGTTGCCCAGATTAAACATTTCTGGGTGTCTGTGAGAGTGTTTCTGGATGAGCTGAGTATTTGAATTAGTGGACTCAGAGAAGTAGATTGCCCTTGCCAATGTTTTGGGGTATCAATTAATCCAATGAGGACTTGAATTAAAAAGGTGAAAGAAGAAGAAATTTGACCACACCACCTCCTTTTCTTTCCCTGCTTCATTGCTTCTTGAGCTGGGACATCTCTCAAACTGAGAGATGGGACATAGCCCAGACTAGGATTTACACCTCAGATCCCCTGGCTGTCAGATCTTTAGATTCAGACTGAATGAAGCCGCCAGCTTTCCTGGATTTCTGGCTGGACTGTGGGACATCTCAGCCTCCATAATCATGTGAGTCAACTCATAATAAATTTATTGGTATATATGTATGTGTGTGTGTATATCTATTGGAGTGTGTGTGTGTGTCTGTGTGCATATAGATACACACATATATCCTGTTTGCTCTGTTTCTTTGGAGAACCCTGACTAGTAAAGTCTCCTATAAAAACTCATGTAGTGCTTGGCGTAAGTTGAATGTTTGTTGAAATGTAGTGATTTACATCTTTGTTTCATTTTCTTTACTGTATTCTCTTGGAATATTTTTATATGTATTAATGCCATGGTGATACTAAAAACTCATCACATGATTTTTAAAAAATTGGCATAATGCTTGACTCATAGTTGGTGCTTAGTTATATTAGATTAGTTGAGTAATTATGAGAACAAAGAGGTTGTATGAGAAAACATCAGAAATATGTTTATTTCTCGAAAGTTTATAGAAGGTAAAAAATATCTCATTGAAGATTGTATTCCTATAATTATATCAGAAAAAATGTTGGCAAGGATTTGGAGAAATCCTGCTTGAAGAACTCTTCAATTGTACTTCTCTTGACAGCCCTCCCAACCCAGTATGAAATTATAGTACACTCCAATGGAGCACAAGGTGGTTAACACATCTTGAAAGTAAGTCCATGGCAGGAAAATAAACTTTTGTTTATAGCACTTTGTAGGTAACTATCTGTTCTATTTCCCTAGATCAGGGGATGGCACACTACAAGAGGCAGGCCTAGACACTGCCTGTTTTTTAAATAAAGTTTTATTTGAACACAGCGATGCCAATTTTTATTTTTATTTACATATTGTTTATGACTACTTTTGTGCTAAAACAGAAGAGTTGAGTAGCCCACGGAGCTGAAAATATTTGTTATTTGTCTCTACAGAAAAAGTTTATAAACCCCAAATTGGAATATCTTACGTATTCCTATTCCATAGTAGTTGGTTCACAAATGCCTCCAATTAATCCACTCATGTGTCTTGTGTTGAAATCTGTCTGATATGGACCACATAGTAGCTTCATGTGTAAGGAACATAAGATTGAATCTTGTAGCAAAGTACCCTTTTCCCTTTTTCCAAATTTTAAATGATAGCAATCTGAATTTGATATTGTAGAAACCAAACTATAAATTTAAAAATCACAATTTCTAGGCTGTCCGTGAGGACTGTGATTCTGAAGGTAAATCTTATTCCCTTTTATTAACAAAACAGCTATTCTTTGATTGACAACATCCCGCCAAGAGCTGTTGTACATATTTACCTGGAACTAATAGCTATTTCAGAAAAGAAAGAATGTTCGCGTAATTGGAACTTATCAAATCCTATAGGAATTAGAAGTCCTGCAAACATATCCATCAGTTCTAATGCAGAAAACAGTGTGGAAATAGACTTTGCCGTGGGCAGTATAATTTTGAGAAAAAGCGGCTTCTCCTGATCAATCAGTCTGCTTTCTTTGTTAGTTTCCTTTTGCTTTGGAAGTGACTTTAATGATTACATAGAGTAATTATCTTAGCCTAGATTTTCAAACATGTTTCTTCCTTCATTGCTTAACTGTTATGTTTTGATCCTTATTCTAAGGATTCTGCTTTTTTTTTTTTTTATTGTATACTACTTCAATTTTGTTTGGGAAATTAGTTTTTGAGAAGTATAGATAAGAAACTGAAAATATATAATTGGGTTGTCACATCAAGCATATGCATGAATCTATGTCAAGGCATTTAATTCAGTTAATTTACGTGGGATCAGTTGCTAAAACCAGACGTAGGTGTCCCTGATTAGCTGTGACATAGGGGGAAATCATGTGGCTATTCTAGTCATGGTAGAGAAGATATTTAGATTCATCCTGTAATTAGAGCTTTCAGAAGGACCATAATTATATATTACATTACATACTTCTCCAGGCCATTGCACACAAAGGGATCTTTTTGGGAATTTAGAAATAACTGTAATAACATGAATTTTAATGATTGACAGTTATAGGCTAAAATGTAATCATGAACCCAATGGCTTTTTTTGTAGGAAAAATTTTACTGACTTGCAAATATATTACTTGGACTAAACACTTCTTATATGCTAAGTGAAAATATAAACATGTCTCATAAGAAAATAAACAGAAATAAAACAAACAAAAAAAACCCAAAGCTTTTCAATTGGATGAGTAGTCCTGCTGTTACTTGTCACTTAATTTTTATAGTCTTCTCTTTGAACTTTATGAATTTATGTTCATAAGCACGAATTAAACAAATGATTATTTTCTTTTACCCTTTCTTCAGGTAGTATACAAGATATAACTTAATGATTATATTGTAATGAAAAGAAATGGAGCTGGGACACAAATATGCAACATACTGCAATCAGGTTTTGTAAATACAGGGATCAAATGCACTGCTTGGTCGGGCACAGCGGCTCACGCCTGTAATCCCAGCACTTTGGGAGGCCGAGGCAGGTGGATCACTTGAGGTCAGGAGTTTGAGACCAGCCTGGCCAACATGGTGAAACTCCGTCTCCACTAAAAATACAAAAATTAGCAGGGCATGGTGGTGCACGCCTGTAGTCCCAGCTACTCGGGAGGCTGAGGCGGGAGAATCGCTTGAACCCAGGAAGCAGAGGTTGCAGTGAGCTGAGATTGTGCCATTGCACTCCAGCCTAGGCAATAAGAGTGAAATTCTGTCTCAAAAAATAAAATAAAATAAAATAAAATAAAATGCACTGCTTATATGCAAAGAAACAAACACTGAATACACATGATCTGTAATTCATGACCAGTTCCAGATATTTATCTAGAAGCACTAGTCTGTACTCAGATGTACGGACATCAAAAATAAGGCTATAATATCTCCTTACTATATTTAATTTAAAATTATCAATGGTGTTTATTGAAAAGGCTGCCCCACACAGATTTAATGAAAGGTCTGTTTCACCATCAGAAAGACCAACTCCTTTCATACTGTCTTAGAAGTTTGATTCCTAATTTATCATATTGTTTATTGAGTGTCTAAAGGAGGACATAAATCTCCCATCACAGGTCTCAGCCGAGACAGAATCCTCTCTGACTATTTATATTTCCCCTTCCAGATTGGAGAGATGTCTTGTTTTCAGAACTTAATTTAAGAACCGAATGAAAGCATTTTTCTGATAAACATATTCTCCTTCTCACAGGCTTAAAATGCTGTGAGTAGCATTAACTTTTATCTTCATATAACACCAAAAATTGATATGATAGAAACTATGAAAAAACTAAAAAAAAATCAGTAATTGATATATTTATGGAGGAAGCAATTTTAAACTACATGAAAAAGGCTTAGACGACTCTGGCCACTACTCCAGAGCTGGTATTTATTTTATAAGCATGAAAGTCCTGATATTGAGTCACACCTACAAAAGAAAAGAAAAGCCACCTCCCAGCTTTTTTTTTTTTTTTTTGAGATGGAGTCTCACATTGTCGCCCAGGCTGGATTGTCTCACATTGGTGTGATCTTGGCTGACTGCAACCTCCGCCTCCCGGGTTCAAGCGGTTCTCCTGCCTCAGTCTCCCGAGTAGCTGGGACTACAGGCGCATGCCACCATACCCAGCTACTTTTTGTATTTTTAGTAGAGATGGGGTTTGGCTAGGTGTTTCGTGAAGTTGGCCAGGCTAGTGTCGAACTCCTGATCCACCCGCGTTGGCCTCCCAAAGTGCTGGAATTACAGGCGTGAACCACTGCACCCGGCCAAGAATGTTCTCTTCAATGAGCATCTTTCAGTTTGATTCTTTTACTCCTATGGCAGTGAACATAGATAGTGGCACTACTCTCTCTAATTTGATTATTGTTCATGGTGAGAACTGTAAACGCAGGTAGATGTAAGAATGCCTCTGTAAACCGTGTAGCCAGGCCATAATATTTCCACTTAATTGGAAGTGTCTTCATATAAATGCAGTTGCCAACTTTTGTTTTAGTCAAATTTTATAATTATTTTTGCAGTTTGAAAAATATTATCAACAAATAAAGGAGAAATCATAGTATGCAAAATATAATTTATAAATATCTGAATATATTTTAAAATGAAAATATTGTAACCTTATATAACTATGAAAAAGTCATGATTTTTAAATGAAAAAGAGTGATTCCATTAAAACACAATAATAGTAATAACAACATTTCAACATATATGTCAATTTCATATAGGGATATTTATTGGGTATAGAGAAAAGGAAGTATTAGACTGGTTTCTTGTTCTTGAAGAAACTAAAAATATGATTACTTTTTGCAATGGAACACTTAATAGAATTAAACCATAAAATATTTTCAACTTAAAGGTTTAGTAATAATTACTATACTAGCAATACAGAAAACAAGGGAAAGTTGCAGAAGAAAATTTATCTCAAAATGATATTCTTCCCATCATTAGGCAGTGATGCTTGGACTTTTAGGGTGGCAAGGCCTATGTAATATAACTGTAAGAAATAATGTTCTTACCACTCCCCTTTATAGCTAATAATAAGAATGTAAAGCATATGTATGTATGTATACTTAAATCAATGTGTATCTTATGTAAGGTTATTGTAAGAGTTCTCCTTATTTTCAAGTCTTAAGGCACAGCTTTTTGTTATTTAAGCTCTAGTCTTCATATTTCAACAAATTATGTTGTTCGCCTCTACATGACTAAAAATAATGAGCAGCAACAGATATTGAACTTTATATAACATTTATTAATATAAACCAAGATCATGAATGAAAGCAATAACTACTGCAGTGTCACTAATGAGGGAATATTTTTAAATGTTATGGATTTAATAGCACACAGACCTTGGCTGGCACAATTTAAAATGATGAATGCAATTTAAAGACTAATATTTTACATTTATGATCAGTAAATTATCAGGAGTCGTGTCATAGAGAGTCTAGTCATTAATATAATTTTAAAAATTTGGCCCTAACACAACATGGTTAACACTTTACACCAAAAATAGTTTTTTTAATTTGATATAGTTATCCTTCATTCACAATATGTGAACGTAAGGTTATATTTCTGTTCAAAAAAGGCTTATCAGTATGAATATATTAATTTATTTCATTATAATTAATTATGCACAAATATACATGAGTATATTTTCTCTAGAGTGAGGAAATAATAACAGTTATCACCTGAAAAAGTTATATACAAACATATATTTTGAGAGAGACCACATTCACATCACTTTTATTACAGCATATTGTTATAATCTTTTTTTATCATTAGCTATTGTTGTTAATCTCTTTTTGTGCCTAATTTATAAAATAATTTTATCATGGGTATGTCTAAGGAAAAAACGTAATAGATATAGGGTTTGGTTATCCACTGTTTCAGGCATTCACTGGGGGTCTTGGAACATATTCCCCCACTGATACCGAGAGACTATCACGCTGAAATCAGGTTCTTTGATTGATATTAGAAATAACACAGCAAACCTCTCTCTTCACTTCTTTCATCTTCTGTGCATTGAAGGGAGCAGACCAAATAATCTCTAAGTTTCTTTCAGTTGTAGTATTCTACAATTCCAGCTAATGTGTTCCCTGCTAATCTGTGGCTATTTCCTGCCAATTCCCCTCTCATTCTGCCGCCACTCTCCATTGTAACTGTCTTCCTCTAACGATGATCAGTTTCAAAATTAACCTCATTTTTCTTCGTTTTATTTTGTAAATTGTTTCTTATAGTCAGATTTCACCATGACTGTCATTTTGCTTATGATGTTTTACATATTCACTAGTACATTGTATTTATTATATTATGGTAAACTGATTCTAGTTGAGCTGCTCATGGGATAGAGACTTGTGCATCTAATCTAGCAAGGAGTGAGGAATTCTCAAATGAGCTCTGCACAGCATACAGACACTAATACCAAGAAATACAAACAAACAGAAAAAGACGCATTTTCCTGAATCAAATAAAGTGTCAGTGTGCAAAACAGAAAAATAGAATCGATAGAATAAGATTAAAAACAGAACCTATCAACAGAGATAATGAAAGCAGAATCTGACTAAAATGCCAAATGTGAAAATGTCCTATCTTTAGAACTTTTGTCAGCTCTGCCTATTCAAAAATAAAAGCTTGGAACAATGTATGATACATGCATATATAGCATAATAGGTTAACATATAAATACACATACCTACATTATATATATATTCCATCCTGGCTATTATTACATTAATATTATTAGTTAATATTATATATTAATAAAATCGGCACTGATATTATTATATGGTATATACATATAATCTATGCTGGCTAATAAAAGTAGATACTAATTTTTACAAACATTACAAAAATTATGCAGAGAAGGACTTTGAAAGACACTTACAGAGCTATTAACAGATTTTTAAAAAACTTCTGAACAATGACTTCTTTAGAAGCAAACATAGCTACAATAAAATGGAAAGAAAAACAGGTATCTAATATAATAGCATTTTGGCCTATAAGGCCCCAATTATATCAATAAATTCATAAAATCAAGCCAAATAAAACTGATGTGATAGTAGAAATAGCAAATACATTTTCAGATAATAATCTTTCCATCACTGTAGAATATCAGCTGAGGTTAGTTACGCCAGTTTTTCTAGATTTACCAAGATCTTATATGGGGTTACCATGACTTTACCTCTTCAACATATTGCTGCTAGTTTTTAGGCCATTGTCTTCCCTAGATATTGTTGGAGTTTGTATTAACTCTTTTAAGTTTTATCCAGCAAAATGGTGCACCTTATATTCTATTTCCATGAACTTCTAATTAATATCCAGGGAACAGTTTAGGAACTGAGAACATCTTGTTTAACCCACTCAAGTCACACTTAAGAAAACCTTGAAGGTTTTCACCTTGTTTGGATGCTATATAAGAATGCAATTCAGATTCAAAAAGTGTGTTCTGAAATCTTACTTGGAACACTTTCACTTTGTAAAAAGAATCTTTCATTGTATATGAGAATAATCTATCTACCAAGTGTACTGGATGGATTCCCAATGAACTTTCCTCATGTCTGACTTGTTCCTGGGTCTTCTACCTCTTTTTTCCTAATGGTTGTTTTTCTTTTTTTTTTTTTTTTCTTTTCTTATTTTTTTCTCTCTTGTAAGCACATGGACATACTAATAAATATGTTTATACTAAATATTCAAGCAAACCCCTTTAAATCCTGAGTTTGTTCTGGCTACAGCTGTTTTCCCTCCGTCCATCTCTACTAATCTTTTAAAAAGATTTTCCCGTAGCCACTTTATTTGCTTTCTACTTCCCAGTGTTTCACTTTTTTTTCATGTCATGGCACACAGAGAAGATGATAAATGGCCAAGCCTATCAGCAGCTATGGGGATGGTTCCAGAGGATCCAGCTGCCCCAGGACCCTCTGGTTATTCCAGAGTGCCGAGAGAATCAATAACATGGTGTTCCTGGAATCTGCCAGGGCTTGCTGCTGAGCTCGGCTCAATTCAGCTCTTACCAACCTACATTTTGCCTGCATCACAAACTTGACTTGTTTCCGCTCAAGGTCACTTAAGACTTATTTGCTGTTAAACATAACATACCCTTTCACTGTCCTTATTTTATGTAAAATAAGCATTTTAATTTAAAGCAACATTTGTCACTGACGGCCACTTCTTCCTGCAAAGTCTTGTGTCTCTTTCTGAGATCCCAGTTTTTACTTATTTTTCTGCCTGTGTTGAACACATTCTGTGCATTACCTTACATTGTCTTGGCTCACTTTTATCCCAGCAATTGCTGTAATAATCAGCTCCAGCCTCATGCCATGCGACTCAGAAGGTCTATGGTGCTAGAGGACTTTATAGTGAGAAAAAACATTCTGTGCGCACATCTGGTAGGCCCCAGTTGTACAGAGTTTAGCACAGATCCCTAGGTTCTGAAGCAGGGCATGCTTTCTGCTGCAGAGAACTGCTCATGTGTTGAGAAGTAGTTCTTGGCAGGCCCCTGGGATTAGTAAGACTGAGTGTCTCACCATGAGAAACTAAGTGACTGTGAGATCAGAGGCAACATCATGAGCTGGATGTTATCAGGTCCAACAACTCATAAGTTTGGCCTACTCCAGTAGCAATCAATTATACTACGGTGGAGATGATTCATTTAGAAATGAGACTGAACAGGTCTGGGGGGCATAAGTACGTTTTGCAAGCATGTGGCATGGCCCAGATTCCTATAGCAGCTATACTCTCCTACTGATGATTCTCTCTCAACTTGCACCTGTGGCTTCTTGGTGGGAGTCCTTCTGAATATCGAATAGAGAAGGAAACCATCAGTCTGATTCACAGATGAGTTATTCCTGATATCTTGGTCCTGTTGTAACATTATAATCCAACTCGGAGGTGACCCTGAAAGATAGTAGTGAAGGGAAATTCTCCTAGTGGGCAGAGCTGCAAGCTTGTATGGAAGTAGATATGATTTGAGGTACAGATGCACAGTCTCCTGCACAGGAAAGAATGGCTTAGCCAGTTGATCCAGGGACAGGAGGAAGCAATATTGAAAGACTGGAAATAAGGAAGTCTTAGAAAAAAGCATGTGGGTGGACAATGAGAATGGACCCAAAGTGTAGGGATGCTTATATTTTGTGTTAAGATCTATCAGAGACTGCTCTCCACAGAGGACCATTCACAAACCCGATAGCCAGGTAGGCTCATGCTGTGAATGTCAGCCTGCTTCTTCCTATTGAGACTGAATGCTTCTGCAATGGGTCCATGAGCAGTGTGGGTATGTATGCTGGTTATCTAGCTATTGCTTCCCAGCTCTAAATTCAACCTTTTTTGCCTACTTTGTGACTATAGATATGGTTCCTTTAAATAGTTTTCCTTTACCAGGTGGCACAATGTTATAAGCTTTGTTAGTGGAGTGGAGTGGGTGGGAGAGACATTGCAGGGGGAATCACTGTTCCTTCTTGGTTCCATTGTACTTGCTTGGCAGACTCCTATAGCTTGCTGGTCTCTCCAGCTCTGGTCCCAGCAGTGCAGGGCTGCCAACAGCACCCAGCAGCCAGCAGCTTCCCCCACTCTGGTGGTTTTATAGCCCAGTGCCTAGGGGGTACCTTTGTCCATGAACAACTTTCCCCAGAACCCTAGGGAACAGATTCCCAGCAAGTTTCAGGGAGCAGATTTCCAGCAAGTTCTCCTAGTACGATACCATAGTGACTTTACTGCCATCCAGTGAGACACATGCATATCCTCTCCAAGGTTTGATCTCAGCCCTGAGGTTGGGAAGCCTCTTCTTGGTTCTCTATCTCACCCCTAGGAGTAGTGTCTAGTCCTTTTGTTTGCTATTCCTGTATTCTTTAGGATTCTCTTGATTTCTTACTAGCCCATCCCTCCTTATCTAAATATCCATGTATTATTTTTATATTAAACTTTCCCTGTTTAAACTATAGTATGATTTTTGTTCCCTGATTGGATTTAGCCTAATACACCATGGTAGCAGGGAAAGAAGACATGCATGGGCCCAACTAAATGGGCTCTTTCTTACTAATGTCCATCAGTGCTACTGGCACTGCTGAGTGGCTAACTTACAGCACCAAAAGTTAAAGCTGGGATCACATTGTGGTTCTATCCTTGAGGATTCCAGGCAGCCATTTGGTGACAAGTTGATTGCCATTAGACTCCATGAAGTACACCTATTTTCCTGCCCAATGACAACTATAAATGAGCAATTGCGGCAATCGCAATGCAACCAGAGTTAAACAGCTTTGAGCTCCATCTCCTCATGGATGAAATCAGCCCTTCTGCAAGTGAGCAAGATAAACCCACTTCAGTGCTGACTGAGGATGAGGGAAATCTAGAATGGGTGGTAGAAGAAAGATATGGTAATATTAACAAAGGCAAAAGGGTGACATTAGCTGGGAGTGTAGGTTGTTCTACTTACCCTTGTATATTGAGTATTTTTTAGCAACTGCAGACAGCTGCTAAATCAAAGTGTGTTTGATGGATGGGGCATGAGCAAGGAATAGATCATATGAAACCTTTTTGTGCCCCACCTCTTATTTTCTTGGCCCTTCTTTTTTACTCCAGCTATGACTGTGCACCTACCTGCTCATACTGCTAAACTGGAAGCATCTTCCCTCATATATATGTGTATATCTCAGGGCTTCCTTCCTACTACCACATGAACCAACTTCCCTCTTACCACCAAATCTAAAAGTGCAAGAGAGTTAACAATCAAAGGTCACATGTTAACCACTAGGAACAGAAGGCTGTGAATGGGTAAATGCCCACTCTTTCTGTCTCAAGGCATGGACAACTTTGAGGAGCATTCTGCATGGTTCCTTAGAGATCTGTAGTAGGACCGACTCCCCATTGCCCATAACAGTGGTGAGCTCAACAAGACACCTTGGACTGACTTTCTCCCATTCCTTGTTCTACAGTCCCTAGTTCCCCATCCCTATTATTTGGAATCACTTAACAAAATAAACTATCTGCTCCAAGGTATTATCTCAGGCTCTGGTTAGAGGGGGGAAGCTAGGCTAAGACAGATCTTTCTTGCATTTTTATTCTGAGCTTTTTACATGCACTCCTCTTTTGTTGGCTGTCCTTTAAGGGCTGATACGTCACAGGGCTCCAGTGTTGGCCAACTTCTTCTCCAGTCACTTTCCTGTTTCATCTCACATGCTCTCCTACTTTAACCATGATCTAATCACTGAAAACTCCCAGTCTGCTCCTCCCATCCACTTCACTCTTCTGACCTGTACAACTACATCTCACACTCTAGCAGACCTTTTGCTGTAAATGTTTTAATGCAGTTTAAATGTCACATTAAAAACTGAGCTCACATTTGCTATCCCTGTCCCTCAACTGCTCTGCTTGTGTTTCCTATTTATTGAATGGCATCATCGTGCTCTGGGTCATACAAGTTATAAAGCTGTAAATGAATCTTGGTAGCTCCCTTTCTATGACCCATCAGGTGAGCAATAAGCAAGACATGCTTATTTTTACCTTTTAATGCCCTCAGTTTTCTCTCTACTTTCTACTGCAGTAGCCTCTGGTTTACTATCAGCTCTTGCCTCTCAAATTCTGTATTAATCCTCAGGAAGGGAGGTCACAAAAGTGGATAGAGTCAGTGAATGTGACAGAGGTAGCACAAGGAAACTAGTTGTCTGTTGGCTCCTTCCATGCATCAGGTAACTGTACTGAACCTAGCATGCTATCTAGCACATACTCAACACTCAACAGACATTTTTCAAGGAACTAAATACATCTTTGACTCCTGGGGCAGATGCTTAGTCCATGAGAGACTGTGATTTACATGAGTGAGAAAAAGAGGAAGAAAGGATTTTACTAAAATATTTTAGGCTAGTCTTTTATACACCTTCAAAATATTGTCCTAAAAATATAAAGAAACTTCATTTGTCAAGACTTTACCAATAACACGGTGTTTAGCATGCTTTTATTCTAAATGTTGGTTCATTGAACCTGAAGAGCCTTTCATGCCCATAAGAATATTAGAATGCAATTGGCTAATGTTTATGATGGCATGTCATATATCTCTCATGGATACAATAGTTCTGGATGTTTCTAGGGATGGTAGGTACAAACATAATGTTTTAGCACACTTTCTTTAGCGACAACATCATAGAATACAGGGAGAATACAGAATTGGGGAAGGAGCAACGTATGACTCAATAGTTCTGAACCACAACCTGGAAATGTCTGTTGCCATCCTTCCCAACTTTTTCATCTGTTTTTAAAATCTTGTATACCTCTTTAAATGCTTTTTTGGAACAGTGTAGGAAGAGGAACACTTTTCTTCTTTATTTAAAAAATAATTACTGTGTTAGAAAACTACTTATCATGTAGGAAATAATAAGCAATTTATGGTCACAAGTCTAATGGAAAAATAATTTCTGTTAAGAAATCTTTAGTTCATATATCATTGATTAGCTTAGTAAGACAGGAATTACAGTTACCCAGATGTTGAGTTATTCTCAAGTAACCTTGGCTCTAGTTGAAATAATCTATTTTCCAAGTGTGCACATACCTATGTTTGCAGCAGTTGATTGCCTTATAAGTCAGTCTCTTTTGTTGAAGTTGTTGTTGGCATCTTTATTGACATACATAAAGACAAACTCTAAAATATTATAGGATAATCCTGACTTGGAGATTTTCTAAAGGAATGATTTGATGTCAATGTAATAATGCAGTACAATTTTTACTATAAGTATTGATGGTATTTTTTTTTTTACCATCATAGTTCCAAATGAAACTCCTTCCTGAAAATATTGTATTATTTCTCTAAAACTTCCTGAATCAACTGGAATATAGTTATTGGACCTAGCATATTAAACTCCTTATTTTGGTTCTGGATAGAAGCCAGACAATAATAATTGTGTCTATGAATTGCCTGGAAGCAGGTGACTCCTCCATCTGGACTACGTCCTCTACTTCGCTGAGCAGGATTCTGCTAAAATGCTGTGTTCCTGGCCCCTAGGCAAAGAATACTGGGGAGAGTGAGCAGCCTTGTAGATCCTGGTAATAACTTTCTTTTCCCTTTGGGAGTTAGAGTCCGTTTGCATTTTGTGAAGATTTTAAAGTAAAGGCCCAAGATTTGGAAATTGAAATGTGGCTGTTGTCCCAGACATTCAGGCTTTGTTTGCTGTTGAATGTTTCAGGATACTAGAGGTTGTTTCTGGTTGCAATCCATAGAAGTTTTCATAGTTATAGCTTCTTAAAAGATTGTTGGGAAGCCTGTTAAGTCTACCAGTGTGGATTGCAAATGAGCAAGCATTGTTATCCATCTGGGGCCCCTTTTTTGATCCAGTCTAACTCAGCAGTCCCAGCAAATAAACCGAAGTGAGAGACCTCCAAGTTGCCCTGAAACAATCTATCCATCTTTTTCTTTCCATGTTTGGCTTAATGGGCCATTTCCTAAAATCTTCTGCCCTTTCTCTTCTCTGATCAAAGAACATTACAATCTTGGTCTCATCTCTCTCTGTGGCTTATATGCTTTTTTTCCCTTTCTGTTATTTCTTAATCCAATTGGTTGAAATCACCCAAAATTCACTAGCAGGGCAGTCACTGGTTGCCTTGTAGCCATTACTTGACAAGGCTGTAATTAGTTGGTCCATTTTACACCTGCTTTCCCAGCTGGGCACTGCATTTTGCTTTACAGTGATTTGTATCAGAACTGAAAGGGCACCACTTGGAGAGTGAGCTCACAGTGCCCAGTGACAATGTAAAATTGTACAGAATCTACATTGTGGAGAACTTCCAGCAAGAAGGATTCATTCATTCATTCATTCATTCATTTTTTTTTTCCTGCAAGTGTATCTTTCTCCTACCATTGAACTCTTGATAGTTTTCAGTAGACAACTTTTATCAGAGAAACCAGAATTAAACCCTCCTGTGTCGAGTCTTTATTTAATATTTCATTTGGCTTTGGAGAGATGTATCAGGTAGTGCTAGTTTTCACAGTAATCATAGTCACAAGTGAAGCTTTTTAACCCATGAAAATACGCCTTTCAAATAATTCAGAGAATGTGCTTGATAATGCCACTTGCATATGTTAATTCTCATGCTAAATTAAACACTTTTAAATGGAGAATGCATAGGTAGTTTCCATTCAATGCCTGATGTTTCTGTTACTGCTCACACAGTACTGGCCATAAAGGAATGTTGTGCCAATGCAGCGTGCTTCAAGTTATTCCCTCTCTGAAATCCACTTTATTGCAAGCATTCTCTTTCTTTTTCTAATAATGTTTATTGTAGGCTGATTTACTGAGATTATTTGATGATAAATTGATAGTTGCCTGTAAATGATCCAGAAGACTCTTAGGAATTAGGGTAAGCTCCAACAAGTATTCTAGAAAGCCCATTGGTGCCGTGATTGCCATCCCAGTGGGCCATCCCTTGAGCCAGTAATGGATGAATATTTTAGATGACCATTGTGTAGCAATTAGTTTCTCCTCTTCAATTAATTCTTTTAACAAAACCACCATTAGTGGACCTCTGCAGCGTGTTAATCCAAGAGCCTTAATGACGGACTTAATAATGTCAAAAAGCTCCTCTCAGTTTCTTTCTATTTAGAAGATAAAAACACACATTTGCCCTAGGTTGTTCTTTTAAAGAATTAAGACACAAAAATCATGACTACAATTTTTAATATTTTTCCCCTTTGGAATTCAATCTGAAGAGAGGCCAAATTTCTGTCTTTGTCTCCTGTTCTCCTTCTCCGTCTTGCTCTATCTTTCTCTATTTCATCAGAAATGAAAAATATTTTCATCACTTTTACAATACCAGTTATTTCCTAATAAGCACCATCTTTTTTTTTCCTTTAAGAATGTCTTCCACTTCTGCATTCTCCTCTCTCCACTCACAGATGTCAGTCTCGTTTAGACCCTCAGCATATCATACTGGCTTTCTGTAAAATTCTCACCCAGCTTATCTCCCTCCATCCAGATTACCCCATGCATGTTGCCAGACTAATTTATCTTTTTCTTCTCCTGCTGAAAACATTGCAGTGGTGTTCTGTTGCCTTCTCTATTAATACTAATTCCTTATCCTGGCACTCAAAGACTTCCACAATCCATCCCCAAACTGTGTTTTCATTTTTATTTTCATTGGTTCCCTCTAAATATCTAGACTTGTGAAATATTAGCCTTATGTATTCTTAAAATGCATTTGGATCATTCTCTTTCCAACACTTGAAATACACCTTTCCTTCTCTCTGTTAAAACTGTTCAACTCTTGTCAGCCTTTCACCCACCACAAATAATATTTTGTCTATATCAGCTCTTAGTAATCTCATGTCTTTGAATAGTTACACTTAACCTGTAAAACCGTGTGTGTGTGTGCTTGTGTATGCGTGTGTGTACTCATGCATTACCCAACAATATCTCTTGTATTTTTGTCTTATTTACCTTATTTTTATTATTCACCTTTTCATCCATATATAATTTCACTCCCCAATTAGATTGAATAATCTCTACAAACAGGAATCTCATCTTAAACCTTGTACCCCCACTACAGCATCTGGTAAGTAATGAGCTTGGAATAGAGGCTCAATAAATGTGTATCGAACATACTGTTTTTCCTGAATTTGGGGAAGTTGATGTTTATTGCAACTCCAGATAAAGAACTTCCATTTGGCTAAACTAATCCTAAAAGAGTATTCCTTTCTATGAAGTACCTGGCTATATAAAAAGAGGTGAGTTCATTCATTCTAACAGGGTTTGGGAAGAAAAGTCAAACATATCCTCTTTAAAATATCTTCCACAACAATGACTAATCAAAATGAATATTCTTTTAAGACTTTTACAGAAATATGAAATTCTACATAAATTGGACTCTTCTTTGCCAGATTCAGGTTGCCGTAGTTATGCATCGTTCAATGAACCTATGATCACATCTCCTGTGGGCAGTTTTAATGCTATACCATATAGGTATAATTTGAATTTACTTTTGGAAGTCACTTGCTTTGATATATTTTTGGTTTTCAATGTTTGTCTAATTCCTTCTTTATCACACAAATGCTGAATAAGAGCCTCTGAATAGATGCCTGATTACTTATGTTATTTGTTTATAGAAAAATAGCATCAAAACAAAAACCAAAATGTTTCATCCATTTTATCTCAAACCATGTTTCCTGTGAGTCCTAGATGATGCTATGTCCTGTGATGGTTTCTGTTTTTAGATATTACTTCGGCTGGAAAGATCCACATGAGTTCAACCAAGTTTTCCACACTGCCCCCTAGATTATCCTTGATCTTATACTGGCAATTTCTGCTGGTCAAAGCTGCTGCTGTCTACGAATATTCTTTCTCGTCTTCTTAAGGCCTTTCCTAAAAATAAAGAAAAACAAAAACTTTCTCTGTTATGTTCACTAGTCACATACAACACTTTCTAATGCCTTGGATTGCTAATTTTTCTGAATTCTACTCTAAGTATCTTGGTGTGATGGTTAATATTGAGTGTCAATTTGATTGGATTGAAGGATGCAAAGCACTGTTCCTGGGTGTGTCTGTGAGGGTGTTGCCAAAGGAGATTAACATTTGAGTCAGTGGACTGGGAGAGGCAAACACACCCCTAATCTGGGTGGGCACCATCTAATCAGCTGCCAGTGTGTCTAGGATAAAAGCAGGCAGAGGAACATGGAAGGATTAGACTGGCTGAGTCTTCTGGCCTCCATCTTTTTCCTGTGCTGGATGCTTCCTGCCCTCGAACATCAGACTCCAAGTTCTTCAGCTTTTGGACTCTTGGACCTTCACCAGTGGTTTGCCAGGGGCTTTCAGGCCTTTGGCTACCGACTGAAGGCTGCAATATTGGCTTCCCTACTTTTGAGGTCTTGGGACTCGTACTGACTTCCTGGCTCCTCAGCTTGCAGACGCCCTGTTGCGGGACTTCACTGTGTGATTGTGTGAGTCAATTTGCCTAATAAACTCCCCTTCATATATTCATCTATCCAGTTAGTTCGGTCCCTTTAAAGAACCCTGAGTAATACACTTGGGAGTCAGGATTGGGTCATATTTTGTCATGCATCCCTCTCAGGCCCTACTGCTGAGAGTAGATATTAGATGAAAATGTGATTTATTTGTTAACTGATTAGTTAAAACAGCTAACATTTATTGTGTACTTACAATCTTCAAGGCACAATTCTAACCCAATTAACCCTCAGAAAACTCTATGAGTTATGTACCTTTATTTACTCCATTTTCATGATGAGGAAACTGAGGCTTAGCGAATTTAAGAGATTTACCCAAGGTCAGGGATCTAGTATTGTCTGGATACCAGGCTGCTCTGCCAGCTGCTGCAGTCTCTGTTGTGCTACAGCTGTGTTACAGCTTCTGAAATTATTCTTTCTTACACATTTTTTTTTCTGCTGCTCTGTTTATACGTGTATTTCAGTTACAGCATTCTACTATCTTCTATGTTTTGTAACTATTAATTGAGCAAAACGTCTAATCTGAGAGCAGTGTTGCATTAAGTATGACTTCCTAACTAAATTGTGGCATTTTGTTTTGGGGATGTGGCAGCACCATTTCATCTATGACTGGCAGGTGATGAGGAAAGTGGTCAGACTTCGCATATCCAATAACCTTGGATTTGTGTAATGTGTGATGTCATATTGCTTGAAATTCTAATTTTGTAGGAAGGAGTTAAAAACTGAATTCAGTGGAGGACCATGTCATGGGGACACAAAAGTTCTGTGCCACTTATATTGTGTGCCTTGATATAATGCTGAGGTTGGAATGCTAAAATTATTTTTCCCAGAGCCCCCTGCAGCTAGCATTCTTGATGTGAATTAAATTCCATCAATCAGATATATTTCTGTGAGTCTTGACTACAGAACCAGATTAGTTTGGAAAAGAGGTGGAGTCAGTAATATCGATTTTGTTTATGCAGATTATGTCAACTGTAACAACCAATTTCTCAATCTCCTTGTCAGCTTTCTGATTCTACAGCTTCCTAGTCAAGGCAAAATGTTCATGGCAGCTCAGTTTGTCAGTGTTCTTCCTGGAAGTTCAGTCTAAAACCTGTTTCTCTGGTCCTTTTAACAATCCTTTTGCTGTTTACTACACTAGAATAAATCCTTTCTGCTTAATCTTGGTAGAGTGAATTCTGTTTTCTGCCAGTGACTCTAACTGATGCAACTGTGTCTGACTGATACACTCTCTATGTTTAAGTGTTAAGTATTAAGCCAGCTTTTATAGATGTGTGCCTTAGCACAGGGAGGAAGAAACAAATCTTTGCTTTAGAATAAAATGTTTTAGGCATTGGTTATTTATTCCTGTTAGCAATCTTTTCATTATGCTAATAAAAAACACTTTAAAACAATGTGAATACTTCAGCATTGAGGTTTATTATTCTACTCCATATGTATTTATTGAGTGCCTACGCTGTGTCAGCAACAAGTCCTGGGGAGAGAGACACTGCAAAGAGCACAACAGATGGAGTCTCTACACACGTGTAATTCACGGTCTTCCCCATCAACTTACAGATTGAATCAACTTCTCATGCTCATTCATGGTTAGGTTGCCAAATCAGCTAAAAGTATTTCAAAAGCTTAAGAGATATTGATAATACCTCAGAATAGAGATAGCTCATTTTGGCATTTAAATTGCTAATTTCAAGGGTGGCCTGCTTACTAATCTATAAAATGGGGATTTATATTTATCTCTTATGATATAAGGATGGTAAAAAATAGCTCATCATGGAGATGATTATGAATCACTTATATGTGGATAAATCAATTTAAAAATATCTATTTGGCTGTAATGAGGGGAATTGTAGTCATTGTTAACTCTCAGTACTAGTAATAATACAGAGAACCTGAGGAGAAACAATAAAATCTTTCCTCAACAGTGTGCATTCAAATGAAGCTCAGGTTGTTATTATGCAATGTATATACCACTTAAATCATCCCAGTGCAGGAAAGCTCTATAAAAAGGGTCTATCAATTTATCTACAGAATGGCCATATGCAAAAAGAATATAAGGGAACTTTTCCATATGGTATTGAATTCATTCCAGTTTCAAGAGCAGGAATTCCAAAATGGACTATGCATACCATTTTGTGTGTTAAATTAGGAAAGAATGTGTAGATCTTTTCAGAGTATTCTCAGCCACAAAATGATTGAATTATTTATTAAACATTAAACAGTTTTATATGGGGATTGTCAAGCTTGATATTATTTATTAGGTCAGTAGGTCAGTATAGGTCGGTATATACCCATCTAACCACCAAAATTAGAATGCATATTTTGTGTTTATTTTTGTAAAGCAGAAATAGGAAAGTATAACTCTCGTTCTTTCATAGGGGATGAATGTTAAGAGGATGGAAAGGAGTTAACCTAAGAGTTAAGATCTTCATAGTAAAGCAGAAGATATTTGCGGTTGTCAGGAAAGTTGCATACGTGTGCCTATGTGCATCTACCTGTATGTATATTATTCTTCGGGTGGAGTGAAGATAGTAAGAACCTAAAAGATAGTAGAAAATTCTCAGCATGGCAGTTGGAAGGGACAATAGTGATAGTGCGAAGGAAATAGAAGATGGCAATGCAGATCAACAGAGAGAGCTCAAATGTCATAAATAAAAGCATTTTTTCCTTAGGAATCTCTATTGCAAACAAGATACAATGCAATGGCCAAGAAATTAATGATGAAGACATCAAATATAGAAAATTGTTCTGAGCTTTAGACAGAATGGCACAGATCTCCCTTGTTTAGTTTATGCCTCCCCACCAGCCTCTATTTTCTCTCAAATGATGGTGAGTTTTATGAAGATTTGCACATCTCAGTGGGGATTTAATGCGATATTTAGCTTTGAGATACAACTTGTATTTGTAATGAACGCTGTACGGCTGAGAACATGTTATAACATTGAGTCTTATTTCTTTAGAAATCAAATGAATATAAAATATCAGAATATCAAGATGAGAACAAGATGCGTGTTTTTACTATTTAATAAAATTTTGTGTATTAATTTTGGAAGAATGGTTGAATGGATTAAATAATCAACATTAAAAGATAAAGTACAGTATCTAAAGCTTAGTAGATATTTTATACATCTTAGTAATTGTAGCTATAATTATAAGAAGCATAGATATAATCCCCTCTTTGCTACATGGGTTAGTGTCTAAAAACTCTTGGGAAAAGCTGAGCCATCCTAAATGTAGCTTTCTGCTTGTACGCCAGAATCCATCACTGAGTTCTTACCTTATTGTATAGAGTCTGATAACAAGCAATAAAAGTTGCTTAGTAATCTAGTTTCTTCAAATTGAGATTCTATAGCTATATTTCTATCCTTTTATATTCTTTGTACAACAAAATTGGAGTTCAGCTCCAAGGTGGAGTCCTACTACAAGCTGCTAATAAATCCTTCTTGAATTCCACACCTCGTCTACTTCCAAATTCCCTTGCTCTTGCCTAAGCATGCACACATCCTAAGCCTGCTCTTGACCTCTTGGGTGACATCTTATTGTCTGAAACTGATACATCACTGTTTTCTCTCTTTCCTGAGAGAAGAGTGCAATAAATTGTCATTTTCAGTCATTTGGGAATTCTAAGTTCTTTTTAAGGACCTTCATTTGATTTGTTTCCTGGAAGCATATTTCTTGTATTCACCTCATCTGGACTGCTTTTTAATTTCCACTATGTTAAAAGGAGTGAGATAGAAGTGTTTCTCTGGTCATCTAAAGAACCTGTCCATCTGTGTGGTGACCCTAATGACCTTTATAAGACTGAAGAGTTTGCTTTAGAGCTCAATATCCAGGTGGGAATAAAAAGATGTGACATCCAAATGTAGCTTTCTTACTTACACTATCCAGACAGTGAGTTTGATTCAGTGATTTAACTTATCCAAGAGCCTATTTTCCCACTTCTATACTACATCATGTCATATTATAGCCCATTATAAAATATATACATATATAAAGTTCAAATCATTTTGATTACTCATATGCTATATTATATACATTCAATGTATTATCCTCCAAAAAAGACCCAAGGCTACCAACTGGCTAATATCCATCAAATACATCAAATTACTAGATTAGTCTTATTCTATCTTCTACTTACAGGTTTTCTAATTATTTGTAATAAATTTTTTATTATTCTGATAATAAAATTAATGTATACTCCCTGTGGGAAAAGTTCAAAGAGAATAAAGGAGAAAAATGTCCTTAAGCTTAGTACCAAGCAATAACCAATGTTAGCAAAGACTTTCACTGATTATATTTAAGCTGCAAATTTCTACTTGAAGGTTGTAAATGATAGATTGTACTTTGACTTTCATTTATCCTAAGACTTATTGACTTTTCTCTTAACCTTACCTTTGAATGTTAATTATTTTTAATGAGATACCAAACATCAGTAAAATAAACCATTTAGCAGCTATAAGAGTTAATGTAGTTTCAACCTACTATCCCGATGAATAATGATGGACTTTAGCCATGACATATATTCAGCATAATAAATCTAAATACAAGCTGTGATAAAATTTCTCAAAAATCACAAAACTAAGAAATACCCTATATTCAACAATGTTTTTGTTCACTCTAACTTTATCGGCAATTCAGTATATCATTTGTCTTCCTACTCCTGTCCCCTTTTTGTGTTTTTTAAACAGTTATTAATTTATAGTCTTAGCCACACTCCTTCACTTTACAGGGTAAGAAATTAAGACAGTGAAGTTAAGTAACATAAATAGTTAGCAGGACAATGAGAAACACCACAATTCTATTTGTTCTCCATTCATTGCATCGCAGCCTTTTATCTATGATATCATGCAGAGGAAAATTAAATACATTTTAACTTATTTGAAACTGAATTTGTTTAATGCTTTTTTTTTCTCCAGCAGATTTGCAAGGGAGGTTCCTAGTTATATTTTTGTAGGCTAAAACTTGAATAAGTTTGCATTCTTAAAAAGTACACATGAATTAGGTGGGTGGTTGTGAAGGGAGGTAAAAATAGAGGATTCTTGTCTGGAAGTCCACAGACATTTTTGGAAAAGGCCTCCCAACAAGATTAAAGATTCATCATGAGTAAGTCACAGGCAAATGTATGTATAAGTACCCGAGGCTTCTGTTGAATATATCCCACCTTCACTTCTCCCCTGCCTTATACACCCTTACTTCATACACACCCACCCTTTCCCTCAGAATAGGGCTGATATTTAGCATGTATGTATCAGCATGGCCATACAGATTGTTAATATTAATATTGGTTGATATATAGCTTCTTCCCTTATGTGTTATTTACTCTTGTACAGCCCCTCTACAATGTTGCTCTAGGATCCAGCAACTAAAGGGTTAATGACTCATGGAAGAGGAACTCCAGGACTTTGTCCCAGTGTTTCTGTTGTTTGCATTTACTCTGATTGTCTGATGCCATACCACACTGTTGTTAGATACTTAATATCAATCTATACACACCAATATTTGTCTTCAATTATTTCCATAAGAACTTTTGGCAGAAGAGAAAAGTTGGATCAAAGGAAAAGTCAGAAAGGAAGAAAAAAGGCTGGAGAGGTGGAATGATGCTACCAAGCAGGGGAAAAGGTAGCACCAAAGCTAATGGTATTCTTCTAAAGTGATGTTGTGTGCTTGTGGACAGAAGAGGGCCCTTCAAGGACCTGATTATGGTGTGGCACAGAGTTGGGGATGAGGGCCTATTCCCAGGCCACACACAGAACTGCCCACCACTTGAGCCACTGGAAGATTAGAAGTTAGGGTTCAAGTGGCGAGCGGTTCTGTGTGTGGCCTGGGAATAGGCCCTCATTCCCAATTCATACACTTAAGCAATGGTAGTTGAATACTATCCTATTAACATTTTGATTTTCCCAGGAAAAGCTTATGCTTACTGGTTTTCATCTCTCTCTCCCTCTCTTTCTAATCAGTAAAAATTATTTCAGGCATAGACGGGCCTTAAATGCCACTCATTTAGTTCAAAAGTCCATCACATGGCCAAATCTCATTTCTAACGTACCTAACACCTCATCAACCAGGGAAAGAGAAAGAAAAGTAATACTATCTGTTGCATGCTTGCTCTGATTCTATATACTCTGCTATTGCTATGTGCTTTGCATACATTATTTAATCCATCACATGAACCCTTCGAGGTAGATGTTTTTATCATCTCAGCTGAGAGACTAAGGATACTGAGTTCCAGAGAGGGTATAGATCAAGGCCATACAACTAGTAATGTGTAATGGCCAGAATCTGAGATCAAGCTTAGAATGTCCCATAGCCCATAATCTTTGCATGTCACCATTTTGCTTCTGTAATGTGTGAACACCACTTTTGGAAGAAGATCCCTACCTATGAAATAGGCCAATTTTATCCTTGGTCAGTTCCAAATTTAATGAGAGACCAGGAGATCATATTCTATCACATCTATTGAGTCGGGTATCTGGTGCAGATCCACTTTCCTTAGAGACATAAGCAGCTACTTATAAACGATCTCTACTCAAGCTGCACCAAAGTTACGCTGTCATTCTGGATTTTGAGTGACACAGCCTCAAGCTGAACCGCTGGATACTTTTTCAGGCTGACCAGCCCACCAATGAATATCCTAAATAAAGTCTGTGGTGATAACTCTCCCCCAGGGAAAGCCAATGTAGTTGAGAAGTTGCAATCATGCCTCACACCCACACTCTTGTTGCAATATACCAACCCACATTTGCCTGTTCATAGTTACACAATTGTAATAGGCCTACTTTATGTTGGAGGATTCCCACTCACTCCAGGTAAGGGGCACATTTATGTCGAATTGAAATCTCTCTTCTTCTGACTTATGCCAATTTGTCCTGTTTTTATTCCTTGGGATCTTACAGAGAAGGTGTAATTCTTCCATACAATAATTCTTCAGATAATTAAAGAGTACCGTGCTGTGACCACTGAGTCCCGTCTTGTGGGTAAACTGTCATTTCTCCAAATATTTTATGCATGGCATGGTTTCCAGTGTCTTCCTCATCCTATATCTTGGTTTTGAATTTCCTTTAAATTCCTCTTAAAGGGCAGTACCCAGAATTTAGCAACATACCACTTAAAAATGGCCAGCTAAAAATAGAAACCACCAGTTTATATATTCTAGGCACTGAATAAAGCCTAAAATTACATGAGTTTTATTTGTTTGGTGTTTCTGGTAACACAATACCATTTCACTATATAGTGCAAAATATCACTTGAAATCTCTGGGTTTTTCTAATGCTTTTGCTAAGTCATGTCATGTTCTCTTCTTACTTCTTCTTAATTAAACTTTGAGATAATTGTGCTTTCCATGCACTTGAAAGAAATAATACAGAGAGATTGGTGGATTCATGTAAGAAAAAATAAAGTGAGACTTGTGCATTATTTACCTAGTTTCCTCCAATTGTAATAACTTATAATGTCAAAACCAGAATACTGACATTAATATAGTGAGGATATAGAACATTTCCATCACCACAAGTACCCAGCATGTTGTCCTTTTATAGCCACATCTGCTTCCCTTCTGCCCCCAACTATTCCTTAATCCTTGTCAGTCATTAAATTGTTCTCCATCTCTATAATTTTGTCATTTTAAGAATGTTGTATGCACAGAATTACAAAGCATGTAATCTTTGGAAATTGGCTTTTTACACTTAGCATAATTCCCTGGAGATTCATCCACGTTGTTGCATAAATCAATAGATCCTTTCTTTTTATTGCTAAATAGTACTCCATGGTATGGATATACCACAGTTTATTTAACCATTCACCTATTGAGGACATCTAGATATTTTCTAGTTTGGGGCTACTATATAGAAGGCTATCAAAGAAAATAGTGCACAGGGTTTTGTGTAAAAACAAGTTTTCATTTTTCCAGGACAAGTGCCTGTTTCTAATCCTCTTTGACAAAATGTATTTTCATATATTTTACCTATTTTCTAATTGGATTGTTTGTTTTAATTGTTGAGTGTTTTCATTTGTTCTAGATATTAGTCCATTGTTACATATGCAGCTTGCAAATAAATGAATTCAGTAAAGTTCCGGGATGCAAAATCAATGTACACAAATCAGTAGCACTGCTATACACCAACAGTGACCAAGCTGAGAATCAAATCAAGAACTCAATCCCCTTTACAATAGCTGCCAAAAAAAAAAAAACTACAAAAAAAAAGCAAACAAACTTAGGAATATATCTAACCAAGGAGGTGAAAGACCTCTACAAAGAAAACTACAAAACACTGCTGAAAGATTCATAGATGATACAAACAAATGGAAACACCTCCCATGCTCATGGATGGGTAGAATCAACATCGTGAATATGACCATACTGCCAAAACCAGTCTACAAATTCAATCCAATTCCCATCAAAGTACCACCATCATTCTTCACAGAAAGAGAAAAAATAATCCTAAAATTAATATGGAACAAAAAAGAGCCTACATAGCCAAAGCAAGACTAAGCAAAAGGAACAAATCTGGACAAATCACATTGCCCAACTTCAAACTATACTATAAGATCATAGTCACCAAAACAGCATGGTACTGGTATAAAAATAGGCACATAGTGATGGAGCAGGATAGAGGACCCAGAGGTAAAGCCAAATACTTACAGCCAACTAATCAAGTATAGATGCCAGAGGGCTTGTCTCACTCTTCTTTCCATACCCCTAGTTTTTAGCAATTTATGTGCCTCTAGTGTGGGCAGCATCTTGCTCTCCTCTTTGTCTCTCCTACAGTGGCAGATCACTGTGGATCCCGCTACCAGAGGCAGGCTGATTTCACTTCTACCCTTTACTTGGTAGCCTAGGGTGCAAGGAGGATTGCTGTGCCTGCCCTTATGGCATTTGCTTCCTTTGAGTGAATGATCCAGGGAAGTGGGTGAAGTTTTGTATTAGGCCCCAGCAGCAGTGGATCCCTCCTTGAATGCCTGCTCCAGTGAGAGCCACTTTCTCACTCTACTGCTTGCCTCCAATCTGTCCTGTAAGTCCTGAGTGCAGACCCACGAAAATGAGCCTAAGCATGAGTGTGCACACCCCTTCTGTCTGGGCTCCCAGATTCAGCAGTCCCCAAAGCTTTTTGACACCAGGGACCAGTTTTGTGGAAGACAATTTTTCCATGGGCAGCAGGGTTTGGTTTCAGGATGAAACTGTTCCACCTCAGGTCATGAGGCATTAGTTAGATTCTCCTAAGGAGCACGCAACCTAGATTCCTTGCATGTGCAGCTCACACTCGCAGTAGGGCTGGGGATCCTGTGGATCCTGTGAGAATCTAATGCTGCTGCTGATCTGACAGGAGGTGGGGCCCAGAAGGTAATGCTCTCACTGCTCACCTCCGGCTGTGCTGCCTGCTTCCTAACAGGCCATGGGCTGTACCATGGGTATCCCTGCTCTAAAGTGATATATGAGCTCACATGCAGCCCTTAGGCATATGTGAAAATGTGAAATGATTTCTTCTTACTTGTTTCTGCCGCTTTCTCCTGTGCCTTACCAAATCTGAAACAATTTGAGTTTCCTGATTTTCCTCAAGGAGGCCTGTCACTTTGGCATTAAATTCACTAGGTTGTCATGCAATCTCAGATTTCTGATGGTTTCCAAAAAAGGATGACTTTGTAAATGATTCAGCCTTTTCTTTTTGTTAGGATGGGAGCAATGTTATCTTGTGGCTTTCTAGTCCCTAAGTGGAAGTAGAACCTCCCAGGAAATGTGTCACACACAAATAACACTAACCAGAAAGAAGAAAAAATAATAATAAACTGGACTTTACAATTAAAAATTCTTATTTGTAGAAAGACATCACAAACAGGCCGGGCACGGTGGCTCATGCCTGTAATCCCAGCACTTTGGGAGGCTGAGGCAGGCAGATCACGAGGTCAGGAGATCGAGACCATCCTGGCTAACACGATGAAACCCCATCTCTACTAAAAAAAAAAAAAAAAAAAAACTAGCTGGGCATGATGGAGGGCGCCTATAGTCCCAGCTACTCAGGAGGCTGAGGGAGGAGAATGGCATGAGCCCGGGAGGTGGAGCTTGCAGTGAGCTGAGATTGAGCCCCTGTACTCCAGCCTGGGCGACAGACGGAGACTCAAAAAAATAAAATAAAAATAAAAATAAAAAAAAAGAAAGAAAGACACCACAAACAGCATGAATAAGGAAGCCAAAAAGTGGGAGATGATCTTTTGTACATCATCTATAATCAACAAAGGTCTCAAATCCAAAATATAGAAATCCCACAAATAAAAAACAAGAAGACAGAAACCCCAACAGAAACATGAGGGAGAGTGAATAAGCACTCTCCACATAAAAATATTCAAATAGGCTGGGTGCAGTGGCTCATGCCTGTAATCCCAGCACTCTGGGAGGCAGAGGCAGGCAGATCACTTGAGGTCAGGAGTTCGAGACTAGCCTGACCAACATGGAGAAACCCTGTCTCTACTAAAAATACAAAATTAGCCGGGTGTGGTGGTGCATGCCTGTAATCCCAGCTACTCAGGAGGCTGAGGCAGGAGAATCACTTGAACCCAGGAGGCAGAGGTTGCAGGGAGCCAAGACGGTGCCATTGTACTCCAGCCTGGGCAACAAGAGTGAAACTCCATCTCAGAAAAAAAAAAAAAAAAAAGAATATCCAAATAGCTAGTAAACATACTAAAAGTACACAACCTTATTTGTGATCAGAGAAATGCAAAAGAAAACCACAATGAAATACCACTACATACAGAAGAATTGCTAAAATTAGGAAGATGGACAATACCGTATATTGGGTAGATCTATACAGTGCTTTTGAAGGTGGGGATGTATTGGTGCAGCCACTTTGGAAAAGGGTTTGATATCATCTACTAATGTCGAATGCATGAATTCACTATGATGTAGCGATTCCTCTCCTAGGCATACAACAAACAGAATTGGGTGTGAGAAGGTGCAGATTTGTGTGTGGATATTTATACTGGCACTACTCTTAGTAGCCAAACTAGAAACAACCCAAATGTACCACAGTAGAATGGATAAATACATTGTGGTGACTTCATCCAATTGAATATTATGTAGCAGTGAGAATGAGCTACATCTATACTTGACAACATAATGCTGAGCAAAAGAGCCAGGCACAAATGAATATGTAGTACATAACTGTGTTTAAATAGCATCGAAAACCAGGCAAAACTCATCTAGGATATTAAAAGCCAGAGAAAGAGTTATCAAGGGAGGGGATTGGGCACTGTGAATGGACAGAGGCTTGGGGAGGCTTCTGAAACACAGGTGACATTCTCTTTATTGATTTGGAACAATACGTATGTGTTCATTTTTGATAATTAACTGAGTTACATTCACGTTCACTTTGTGATAAGTAACTGAGTTACACTGTGTTCATTTTGTGATAATTAGCTGAATCAGACACATTATCTGTGTACTTTACTCAATATAAATTATGCTTTATTAACAAAATTAACTTATTTATTTCCCCTGTGAATCTCCATACCCTAACCCTAACTAGGAACAAGTGGCCCTCCAGGATGCAGGATGAAAGGTGAGAGTCTCCTTGGTCTCCCCTTTGATATACATCCCTGAGATTTTATTAGTCATGTTCTGAATTCAGTTATTTTCAAGGAGCTGTTTGTGACAGCTTTAGATAGTCATCCTCTTACGCTGTTATAAAAATCACTCAAGAGCTGCAACATTTTTACAATATCTTGAAAGCATCATCTTAAGGTTTATTTTCCTCAATTCACAGTGAGTTTCTCTATTTTGTGTTTCCAGCAACATATGTCTCCAATTTTATTTACAGCATATTTATGTCCATGACATTCCATCCTGATGAAAACACGATTTGCCACTGGGCATGTGAAACCTTCACTAAGAGCTGCATGCCATTAAGGAGTTCTGGATTTCCCTCTTATGACTGATGGGTTTGGCAGTGAAATCTATTTTGTGTCAGGGTTCCTGGTGCCCTGAAATAATCTGTAGCAAGGTTCTGTAAGGCAGATGTCAGCCAAGCCCCTCTGCTGGGTCCCCTTGGGGTTTGTGTCTTCATGATCACTTCTATTCTGTACTTGGGTAAAACTCCTGATCTCTCTTAGGTCTCAGCTCATAGAACTGTTCCCATTTCTCTGTGGTAGGCAGAATTGTTGTTTTTTTTTTTTAAATATACTTTGAGTTCTGGGATACATTTAGGTTTGTTACATAGGTATACACATGCCATCGGTGATTTGCTGCACCCACCAACCTGTCATCTACATTTAGGTATTTCTCCAAATGCTATTTCTTCCCTAGCCCCCCACCCCACGACAGGCCCCAGTGTGTGATGTTCCCCTCCCTGTGTCCATGTGTTCTCATTGTTCAACTCCCACTTACGAGTTAGAACATGCAGTGTTTGGTTTTCTGTTTCTGTGTTAGTTTGCTGAGAATTTGTTTCCAGCTTCATCTATGTCCCCGCAAAGGACATAAACTCATCCTTTTTTTATGGCTGCATAGTACTCCATGGTGTATATGTGTCACATTTTCTTTATCCAGTCTATCATTGATGGGCATTTGGGTTGGTTCCAATTTTTAAATGGCACCTTAACCTTTGTCTCTGATGTTACTCCTGTGGTTCTCTTACATTACATGGTAAAAGGGATGTTGCAGATGTAATTAAGTTAGTTGACTTTGAGATAATGACAAGGGATATTACCTGGGTGGTTCTGGCCTAATTATATGAGCCCTTTAAGGCAGTGTTTTATCCAAAAGATAGCAGGAAAGAGATTTAAAGCCTGAGAAGGTTTCAATGAGCCATTGCTGGCTTTGGAGATGGAGCAGACCATGTGCAAGGACTGGAAAGTGGCCTCTAATTGCGAGAGTAACCCCTGGCTGAGAGCCCGCAAGCAGAGAAGGCCTTTGTCCTACAATTGCAAGAATCTGAATTCTGTCAGCAATCTGAGAGAGCTTGGAAGCAGATTCTTCTCCAGAGCCTTCAGATTAGAAAGCTTCCCAGCTGACAACTTGATTCTGACCTTGGGAGATGCTAAACAGAGAACTCCATCAAACTTGCCTGGACTTCTGACATACAAACTGTGAACTAATAAATGAGTGTTTATCATTCAAGTTAATCTTAACTGGAATGGTGAGCTAATAAGACGATGCTGTTTTAAGCCGCTAAATATGCCATAATTTGTTATGGGGTGACAGAAAACAAACATGCACCCCACTCCCACACCCAACCCAGGATGTGGAATTCAGTACATTTTTCCTTGATTTCCAGAATACAACAAACGAATATGCAAGGCATTTGTGCTTGTTACAGGCTTTAAATAAAGATTTTAAAAAGTAATCACTAGAGATACATTGCAGATTCTTGCAAGAGTTAACCAACATTTTAGTTAAGATTCTCTGTTCTTTCAAAGCCACTTGACCATTTCTACCAAATCTAGAATCATCCTAAATTCAGAAATTCCTTCTCTAATTATTTCCTAGGACCATATTCATCAGCCCCACATTGGTACCTTTATTGAGAGCTAACTAAATAGCACTCTTCTCATTACATGCTCAGTTTTTCATGCATTCTCTGATTTAATCCTTATGACAACCCTGGGAAGTAGTGATTATTATGCTTAGTGTAAAGATGAGAAACCTGAGGTCCAAGATATTTATCAATTTTATTCGAGGTCACATAGTTTAATAAAATCCAGAAGCAGGATTAGAAGTCAGTCACTCCAATGTTAAGCACTTTATTCTTAACTGTCATACTTTGATGACTCTCAGTTTAGCGGTGCTAATAACTACCCAGTGAGTGTCATGATATCTTTTCTCTAAACTCCTTAGAAAAAATTGCAGTTGATAGATAGATTACTCTTGAGTATTGTGGTCACCATTAGGGACAAATTGTAAACAGTGGTGTTGTAGGTATCAGAGAGAGATTCTGACCCATTAAACTGCTCCCTCTTCATGGCACATAGACCCTCCTTTGTCACCTCAGTGGTACAGACACCCAAGGGCATCTTCATGAGATGTGATTGACCTGAATTGGATGGCCGAGTAAAGCTTTGGATTTGGGAATGAACTATTTGGGCTCACTTGCAGGGGTGAGGGGGGTAAGGGTGACGAGTCAGAGGAAGGAAGGCTGTTTACCGAGAAAGTCACTTCAGGGAACGCACTGTCCTTCCACAACCGACCACTCATTATATTAACTTGGAAGAGGGATTATCCGAGTTTAACGTCTGAAATAAGAAACAGTCCTTAATGTAAGGTTTATAAAATACTTATATTTAATTTTTGTAAGACACTGTCTCACCTTGTCACCTAGGCTGAAGTGCAGTGTTGCGATCTTGGCCCACTGCAGTCTCAACCTCCCAGGCTCAAGTGAGCCTCCTGCTTCAGCCTCCTGAGTAGCTGGGACTACAGGCATGCACTACCACGATTTGCTAGTTTTTACATTTTTTGTAGAGATGGGGTCTCGCTATGTCACCCAGGCTGGTTTCAAAATCCTGGGCGCAAGAGAGCTTTTCGCCTCTGCCTCCCAAAGTGCTAGGATTATAGGTGTGAGTCACCATGCCCAGCCTATAAAAGACTTTAAGGTTTGTGGAGATGAAAGGTTGTTTGTATACACATACACTTAAATATATACACATACATTAATTTTAAAACTATAATAAATTAAAGCCTTACCTTTTAAATGGGAACTATGAAATAATTAAAAGTAAATTTATTGTAAAATGAGATAATTAACAGAGCATCTCCATTTTTGGTCTATTTTGTTACTGGGGAAAAAATATTAGAAATCATTATAAAGCCTGAAGTAAACTATTTCTAAATGGAAGATAGTAATTTTACCTACAAATTAACACTAATATTAACTTATTTCTCTAACACAAAATATCAATTAGAGTTCTGATCTTGGTGGTACATTTCTAGAATACTGAAGAGAAGAATGTTGTAGAATGTACTCATTTGTAGCAATTTTCTACTATTTAATACAACCTGGCAGTAAATGTTTTATCGATTTGTTCCTAATGAATACTTAAGTGCATGTCTGAGCCAGAATTTAAATATTGTGGCTGTTGAATGGCAGAAAGCCAAAAAATCCCAAAGAGCTGTATTACAAAATTGTTAACTGGCCTTTTATTATTAGGTTTCTAATAAAAATTCAAGAAGTTTATCACCTGGATCCAAATATCAACTGTCCTCAAGTTCCACTAAATTTAGGATGAGTGAAACATAAAGTTTTGAAACGTTCAACAGGACTCTTGAAAGATTTCTGTAACATTCGCTGAATGACTACCCTTATTTGTCCAAAGAACATTTAATGCTCTAGAGAGAGTATATTCCACCAAATGGTACACATCCATATAAAAAACGTTCTTCATTACAAAATGAGCAGTTTCTTGTAAGAAGCAGTTTGTTATTGTTTCTGCACTAGAACACATTATTTATTGACCTCCATATATTCCATAATAAAAGGAATATTTCACTTTAAAAAATACCTGATCCTGATATAAATTCTTATTTCCTCTAAATAGTAACTTAGAACAGTTTTTCCTTGCCTACACAGTGAATTTGTTTATGGAAAAGGATAGTTAAAGACTGAATTCCTTTAATGCCCAAGTATAATGAATATTTGTTTTCATGGGGAAAATGTTTTTGCATTTTGAAACCCAAAATCCATACCCATTGTTGCTAATGCAACACTAATTATCATTCAAATGAAAACAACTACTTCAGTGGTTAAGTTATTATAACAAAAAAAATGGCAGTCTCTCTTGATCAATGAGATTTAGTTAATTTAATTTAATTAATTTGACTTACTATAGCTGTTTATCTGCTCTGGTTTAGCCCTTTGGGAGCCACTGTGCGACCTATACTTAACCTAAACTTATCAATAAATTGCACATGTAATAGTCTCTACATTTATATATTAAGAGTGATAGTTCAGCATTCCCCAACTAGAACAGTAAGGACAAAAATAGATCAATAAACAATAGAAGTGGTGTCAGACCCAAAGAACAAATTGGCATCAAGGGGATCTGATACAATAATTCATTGTGACTATAAATTAGCAAAACACTAGGAAACTGAGAATTTAAAACATTTACCAACTCCAGATGTGTGAAGATGTCCAGGCTCTCGTTTTGAGCTACTCACCTCTGTGTGAGGTGAGGGAATCCTAAAGACCTCTCACCCTAATTCCCATAGCCCAAAACGTATACCATATGGCTATACTCAGCAAGGGTTCATTTAGCTTTAAAAAGTTACTTAAGATATACTGTGAGTTAATGTCACTACTTTCCAATTTAAGAAATCAGTGCATTGTTTCCCTTTCATCTTAAAATCCTCTGGAATATTTCTATGAATGATATCACTTAAATAAGCAATGTTAAGAGGACATATTATTAGCAATTTGTGTTTTCTTTTCTAAATTATAATCAGCATATGTAATCTGGGGAATGGTGGTGGGAAAATGTCAGTGTCTATTTGTATGTATAAATTTCAATTCAAAATAATAATCATATCTCCAACTCTTTTTCAGTTACTTCACTCTTTCCAAACAAACTTAAATTTTTTTTCCATTTGCTATTTTTATCTCTCTTTCTTTCCCCCATCTACTCCAATATGAATTTTGCCCCTATCACTGCATCAAAAATCTTGTTAAAATGACTAGTGACATTTATATCACTCACTGCTCCCTACTTGCTTGACTTCTAGCAATTTTCCCTCCATTTGAGCCTTCCCATCTGAAATCTTCACATCCTTTCTCTTCCAGAATACTACATTCTTCTGCTTGTCCTCTTGCCGTTATCTGCTCCTTCATAGTCTCCTTAGCTGACACATCCTTCTCTATCCAAACTTTATATATGTGTGTGTGTGTGTGTGTGTGTGTGTGTGTATACATATAGGCTGTGTGTGTGTGTATATATATATATATATATATAGGCTGTGTGTGTATATATATAGGCTGTGTGTATATATATATACATGCACTAAATATATATATATATAAAACTAAATATATGTATATATACACACACCAAATATATATGTATACACACACATACACAGACTAAATACACACACACATACACAAACACACACACACAGCCCACACTCCCCTCCTGAGGACCCAATAAGTTCGATCAAGTCCACAGGTAGATATCTTTCAAATCAATTTCTTTCCCTCCCCACCTCTATCATGTTGGTAGAAGTTAATGCATCCTCCTGCCTGGGCCACCTGAGCTTTTCACAGTCCCTCCACATCTTTTACTTCCCTCTAATATATTTTTCACAATAGTACTAGATGGAACTTTAAAATGTCAAATCTGATGATGTACCTCCCATTCTTAAACTCTTTCAGTGACGTCCCAATATCCTTAAGAATCTGAAAATCTTCAACATGATACATGAGATATTCCATGATATGGTGGTCTCTACTTTCATTTTTGGTTTGTCTCGTGCACTTGTTTTTTAATATACATGATTAAAATAATAAAAGCAAAGTGCATACAAAAGAGTGTTTTCAGACAGAAAGACCGTCATGTGTAAAATCCTTGTGGTGAGAGAATAATTACATATGAGGAACTAAAGGTTAAGTATCAGCTAGGCTTGGGGAATACTTAATATTTGAACCTAGAACATGTTAAGGCTAGTGGATTCATGAAGTTGGCAAGCCACCAAGTATTGGATTCATGGGAAATTACAAGCTAGGTGTATGCAAAATATATGCAGTGTAAGGGTTAATTTTGTCTGTCAACTTGACTTGGCTATGGGGCCGTGGGGCATCCAGCCATGGCTAAACATTGTTCTGGGTGTGTCTGTGAGGGTATTTCTGAATGAGATTAACATTCGAATTAGTATACTGAGTAAAGCAGATTGCCTTCCCTAATGTAAGTGGCCTTTATGCAATCAATTGAAGAACTAAATAGAAAAAAAAAAGAAGGCTGAATAACAGGGAACTCCTCCTGCCTGACTGTCTGAGCTGGGAAATTTTTTTTCTTCATGCCTTCAAATTTAAACTAAAACTTTGGCTCTACTTGGGTGTCAGGCTTCCAGGGTGGAACTTATACCACTGGCTTTCCGGGTTCTCTGGCCTTTATATATGGACTGGAACTATATTATTGGCTTTCCTTGGTCTACCAACTACAGATCTTTTCAGCATCTATAATCACATGAGCCAAATCCTTACACACACACATATTTTGCTCTGTTCCTTTTGAGAGCTCTTACTAAATAGATTTTGGTACTGTAAATTAGGATGCTGCTGCAATATATACCTAAACATGTGGGGGTGTCTTTGGAACTGGATAATAAGTAAAGGCTAAAGAGTTTGAGATGCATCCAAGAAATATGGATATCAAGAATGATTATGACAAGGTCTCAGATAGAAATGAGACACATGTTGAAAATTGGAGACAAGATAATCCAGTGATAAAGTAGCACATAACTTAGCCAAATGGTGTTGGAGTGTTTTGTGCAAGTGATAAAATTGGATGAAATTGATGAAATTAGTAGAGGAGATTTCTAAACAAAGTATTGAAGGAGGAACTTGGTTCCTCCTGATTACTTATAGGAAAATACAAAAAGGAGAAAGATGAATTAAAGAAGGGATTATCAAAAATAATCAGAATTTGAAGGACTGAAAAATAAGAATTGGTTACAAATAATAAATCAGCCATTACTATTTTTTTTACTGCCAATTTATTAGAAGCCTATCCATATTGCAAACAATGAGAAAGTTTGTTTTGAAAAGAATACTCAGGGTGTGGCTGAACAACCATTTCATAAAGAGATCCAGAGTGCTATTCATGGACTTAACTTAAGAATCCAGGGATACAGAGGGGATTATGCCAGCAAAATACTGCCAGTTTGGACTAAAGAGAACAGAGAAGGAAGGATGAATGAAGGAACACTGTCAGACTATTTGGATTCTACAGGACCAGATGATAGAGCTATGCAAGAAATCGAAGACTGACCCTGAAGGCAAGTCAGAGATCATCAGAGCTACCAAGCCCACCACAGACCCAGAGGACAAAGCTATTTCCTACTCTGTTTTAATAGGTAGAGTCATCAATCTGGTTTTAGCAGGCTAGGAAAATGCTGCTAGTGCCTCAGAGATTGGTATGCCCTCATGGAGGGCTGTGTAGGCAGGCCTTTCTTAGGGAGGAGGTGGGACCTTGCAGACAGCTGTGTGGGTGGGACCCTCATAGACAGCCAAGGGGATGCTTCTATCCTGTAGAGCAATGGGGATGAGGTTGCTACCTTAGTGTGCCTGAAGGGCAGATCACTGAACCACAGAGGATTATTTCAAAGCCTTAAGATGTAATGGAATTTACTTTGCTAGGTTTTGGACTTGCTTGGGACCCATCACCCTTCCTTCCTTCTTAATTCTCCTTTTTTGGAATGAGAGTGGCTATCCTATCTATGCCTGTCACACCTGGTTACACAGGTTCACAGCTAGAGAGGAATTTTGCATCAGATGAATCAAAGCTCTAGCCTCTTCCATGTCTGATTTAGAAAATATTTAGATGAGACTTTAGACATCAGCGTTGATGATGGAATGATGGAATGGGTTAAAACTTGGGGGACTGTTGGGATGGAATTAATGTATTTTGCCATCATGAGGACATAAGTTTTGGGTAGTCAGGGATGCTCCCCTTCCCCCTACCAAATTCCTATGTTGAAACCTTAACCTCCGACGTGACTATATCTGGAGATACAGATAAAGACAAGTATTTAGAAAATAATTAAGGTTAAATGAGATCATAAGGGGAAAGCCCTAATCAATAGAACTGTGACTTTAGAAGAAGAGAAAAACATCTCTCTCCCTCTTTCTCTCTCTCCGCCTCCCTCCCTCCTTCCCTCCCCTTTCCCTCTTTCTTTGCAGTAAAAGGTGGCTATTTATAAGCCAGAAAAAGAGCTTACACCAGAACCTGACTATGCTAGCACCCTGATCTCAGACTTCCAGATTCCAGAACTCTGAAATAAATAATTTCTGTTAAGTTACCGTTTATGGTATTTTGTTTTGGCAGCCTGAGAAGACCAAGACATGAAGGAAATAGAGGATCAATAGTATGGCCATGGCACTTACATGGAAGAATCTGGAAGTTCTTGCTAGAATTGTTTTGTCCTTTATTGGTTATAAATAATAAGTTACTATTTTTTATTTCTTATAATGCGTTTTTATTTTGCAATAAATTATTTCAGCAGCAATGGGAGTGCATATTTAATGAAAAATTAAATACTGAATTTTCACCTCTCAAGATAGTTGATGATGAATGTGTAACTTGCAAACACTGTTGACATTTACTATTCACTATGATGGATGGTACACAAGCAACTACAGAAGGTGTCTTTATATATCAATCCATGAAACACATCTTTTTATCTAGATCAAGTTACCTGTTATTTTAAATTAGCAGTGTTTATGTCGATTCCAAGTTTTCTTTAACATATTTGAAACCTAAAGTGATGGTAGTTAATGTGGTGGCTTTATGAGAAAAAAAAATCACAGACAGTTAAATGATGTCAGGATAACATTAGGGTCATTAAATGCTTCAGGTAGAAAATAAGTGAATTCCAATAATAGATTTTCTTTTCATACAATTCATGAAATCAAAGAGAAGCTTTAAGAAGTTCATTCTGCTGAAAGTGAAACATATTATCTCATTGTGAATGTTATTGTAAACTTGATTAAGTTAAAAATTGAGCAAAAAGTTATTTGTTTTGTGGTGATAATAGGAACAAAATACGTGTGTGGTAGAGCATAGCATGTTGATAAAGACAATATTCTTAGTAAATTAAGGAACTTATGGTGCAGAAATTTTCCTCTGTCTTCTGTGGTGTACACATAAGTAATAATTACGTTCAAACAAATAGCAATATCTAGTAATCAAAATAGAACCTGTAGATGTCAGATTTTACAATATCGTTATATATACACACAAACAATCTAACTAAATGATAAAATTGTGTTGATGGAGCAGATGTTGAGTTAAACAGAAAAAGCTCCACCAGAGCTGTATATACTTTCCCATGTTGCTGCTTGCCATTCTTTGGATTTTAGAAACGTTTTCACCTTTGATTAATTACTTTAAGTCAACCTGTGTCCTACAATAGTAATGAATCTTTTTGTAAATTAAATCAGCCTTCAAATTTTGGTTGCATTTGTTTAAAATCAGTTGAATATTTTTAATTGAAGTGTTTAACCAAGGATATGCCCAAAATTTCAGTTTTGAAGCTTTTAAAAATTGCAGTGATGATTACAACCAAATCTTACAACCAGAAAGATATCAATATTTATCTTCACAAAAACAAGAAAGGAATTGAACAAATTAAATAATGAGAATTCTGCTGGTATACAAGATTTAACTTTTTTTTCCAGGTATAATATACATACAGTAAAGTGTGTAAAATGACCATAAGGGTATAGTTGGATATATTTTTATTGTTTGATGATTATGTTATAGCTTGATTTTTATGTATGCATATATATACACACATTAATACCTATGTAATTATTATCTTGATCAAAATACAGAATATTATAATACCCCATAGGCTTCCCTCATACTTCTTTGCAAAATTTCATTTCAAAACTAAATATTTCACTTTTGAAATATCTCAAGGTACTTTTGATGGAGCCATTTTTAATTGTATAAATTTATATTCCATCCCAGAATACAATGTAATTGATAAGACTCATGATTTTGAGCATCTAAATTTGGATAAGCATTAAAAATTCACAAATTAATGAAACTTACTTGATGTCTTTTGCCTCATGGAAAATATTATCAAGAAAGCTACTCAAAAGGAGGCAAAAAGATGGTACCAAATTGTTGGGGCTGAAATATTTACATTATTTAATACAAAACATTACAAATAAGCCTATCCATTATTTAGCAGAATCACCTCTGACTTTACCAGGTACCTCAGAAACAACAGAGAGAATTTCTGAATTTAAAATATCATTATGCTTTACAGAGATAGTTCAGTTGACGGTATTAATCAGCAACAAAATACAACTTTTTAAGGATTACCAGCAATTTTGTGAAAATAATTAAGAATAATAGATCATAGTAAAAATATATTCCTTAGAAAAATACTAATGTTGTGGTATTAGATACAATTATAGCTAAGAAATTGATTAAAATATACAAATATATATCAAGTATTTAATTGCTTATGTTACTTTTAATATTCATATGATTAATTTAAAGATTTCAAATTTTGCTTTAAGGTACCAAGTTATATATTTCCATTGTTTGGAAAACATTTTTAAACTTTTTATTAGGAAATAATGTCAAATATATAGAAGACTTGAAAGAATAAAAATTGCACACAGAGGCCGGGCATGGTGGCTAACACCTATAATCCCAGCACTTTGGGAGGTCGAGGCGGGTGGATCACCTGCGGTCAGGAGTTTGAGACCAGCCTGGCCAACATAGTGAAACGCCGTCTCTACTAAAAATACAAAAATTAGCAGGGCATGGTGGTGCACCCCTGTAATCCCAGCTACTGGGGAGGCTGAGACAGGAGAATCACTTGAACCCACGAGGTGGAGGTTGCTGTGAACCGAGACCACGCCATTGCACTCTGGCCTGGGTGACAGAGCAAGACTTTGTCTCAAAAAAGAAAAAAAAATTGCACACAGAATAGCCATATACTCTTCAACCACATTCATTTATTGTTAATATATTTTCCATTTGCTTTAGTCATTTGCATACTCTCTAATCCCTTCTCTTTTTCTGTCCTTATCTCTCTCTTCTGTCTGCTTCTAAAATTTTTGAAAGTGTATGTGTCATAAATTTTGCCTTTTATTTCTAAATACTTAATCATGTATTGCCTAAGAGTAAGAAATACCTTTTTACAAAACCATAGTACAGTTATCACTACCAGTAAATTCAATACACATATGATACCTTTTTCTTATCTAACCACCATATAATAATTTTGTCAATTGACCCAATGATATTCTTTATAGCATTGTTTTTTCTTCCAGGGCAGGATTAAGAATCTAGTCTAGGATCTAGGATCACATATTGAATTATTTGTTGTAATAATTGTTAAAATCTATTACGGCATAACAGGTAACTCTAAAACTTGGTGACTTAAAACAATAAACAGGTATTGTATGTAGTTACTGTATGTTAAAAATTTGGAAGCAGTTTGTCTGAGTCTCTCTTGAGATCCCAGCCAAGGTACTGATAGAGCCGCAATCATCTGAAGGCTTGTCTGCGGCTGGAGGATCCACTTCCAAAGTGGCTCATTCACATGATTGGCAGGTTGGTGCTGGTGGCTGGCAGAAGGCCACAGTTCCTCCCCACACAGGCCTCTTCTCAGACTGATTGAGTTGGCCACTGGCTTCCTTCAGAGTGAACAATCCAAGAGAGCAATACAGAAGTGGCAATGCCTTTTATTATCTACTTGAAAATCTCACACTGCCACTTCTGCCATGTTCTGTAATCCTGACAACCAACCCTGATTCAATGTGGGGAGGGACTTCACAGAATGTGGATACCAGGAAGACTGAAGGCTAGCTCAAAGGCAGCCTACCACCCATGTTATGTCTCTTTTTGTCCATTTTAAATAAAAACTTTATTTATTTATTTATTTATTTATTTATTTATTTTATTTATTTATCTATTTATTTTGAGACAGGGTCTTGCTCTGATGCCCAGGCTGGAGTGCAGTGGCATGATCTCAGCTCACTGGAGCCTCGACCTCCTGGGCTCAGGTGATCCTCCCACCTCACCCTCCCAAGTAGCTGGGACTGCAGGTGTACATCAACACGTTCAGTTAACTGTGGTTTTTGTTTTTAAAATTTTTTTTGTAGAAATGAGGTCTCACTGTGTTGCCTAGGCTGATCTTGAACTCCTGGGCCCAAGTGATCCTCCTGCCTTAGCCTTCCAAAGTTCCAGGATTACAGGCATGAGCCACTATGCCAGACCAGATTTATTTTTTAAAACCAGTGTGTTAGAGAACTATTTTATAAATCCATCTGTATAAAAAAGTAAAATTATCAGTCATGTAAGTTAATTATGTTTAGTACCACTGTTTGCCCTCAAATGGGTCTCTATTTGGACAATAACTTGTGTGGTTACCCTAGTCTTAGCTTAAAAAGCATTTCTTTCTAGAGTTCTTTTTGAACACACTGCAGAATCAATTTCATCTTTTACACTCTTCCCTTATATTTTGAACTTTTTCTTACATGACACCTATTTAACACTCTCTTCCCATGTAAAATGCAACTTCCACAAAGGCAATAACTATGTTTAAAATAAAAAATTGGATGAAAGACTATTCTAATTACCAAGACTGTTTTAATGTTTGATCATTATATTTAGCCATAGCTATATTCCAGGGATATGTTAATTATATAACATCAAAATATTTAACCAGTTAAAATGCCAGCTAAAACCCCTTTCTGTATTCATTCATGCACTCAACACGTGTTAACTGAGCACCTCTGCTGTGTGCCAGCTCTTCTAAAGGCTGGGGATTTTGTGCTTGTAGGAATATGTATAAGGTTCTTTCTCTCCCATGAAGCTTCTATTCAGAGGGAGGAAGACTAAAAAGGAGACAAATAAGCTAATACATCAAAAAATAATTCCAGATAGGGATGAGTGCTACATACAATAAAAGATCATGTGATAGATTGTTACTGAGAACAATGGAAAGGAAAGACTGCTTTAGACAAGGGATTATAGATAACTGCTCTGAGGAGGTGGCATTTGAACTGGTATTGGGACAACAAGGAGCCATCTATTCCAAGAACAGCAAGCTCTTCTTACAGGAAGGGATTTTTGCATGAATATACAATAATTCATTTGTTTCGGAAATGCCTATATACAAGAGCAAAGAGAGATTAAGTCATATTCAATGATGAGAAACATCCTTAATTTTCTTTAAAATGCATTTAATTTCCTTAAATGAAAAAGTATTTCTCCAGATTATTGCTATTACTGTATTATTAAGATATTATTACTTGCCTTTATACAGTTGCTGTTGTCTGGCAAATACAAATGTGCTGATTTATTCACTTTAAACTTTGTAAATTTAATTCATCTGTGAATGTTTAATAACATGTTAATGCATGCACCTGACTGTGTCTCAGCTCATAATAGAATATGAATCACCGCATTCTTAGTTCTGAGGAATTGCAGAAATCCTTTCCTCTTGCTTTAAGTCATTATGACGTATTCAGACTGCTCAAGCAATGAGATTCTGACATGAAAATACAGCCTTAACTCATTCAATTTAGGTCACGTCCTTAAGCTGATGCTTTTGACACAAGTATTTGTTACAGTGGTGGACACGTTTTCTTTATAAACCAACTCTGACATGGATTTTCATGTCTGAATGAGCCAAAACTCGAATTTCAGATTGCTGAGTATGCACTTCAGCTTATAAATCTTGATTACAATAATATATTTGTCCTTATTCTGCATCATAAATAATTAAAATTAAACAAATATTTGAATTAGTTGGGTTGTGCATATGATTTTGTTATTCCAGGTTATTTGTTCTTGAATCTTCTCTAAATAGTACATTCATTCAAGTTTACATGTTGCTTATAGTACTTTGTGCAGCATATATATTCCTGAGAAATCTTGTATAAATCCAACTATTGCAGATGGAATTGTTTTCTAAAAGCATAAGAAGAGCTTGGATTTAAAGGAATCCTGAAGAATTATTTTTCTTAGTAAGAATCTTTTTTATAATATGAGTCATCACTTTTTATTTCATCTGTGGAAAAGTCAGATTTTCATGGATTAGATTTTCTGGGAATACATCTATGTGGGTCACGCTCCTTATTCACAGGCACTATTGTACCTTAAAAAGCACTTCAGTACCCGCATATAATCTATCATCACGCAGCCTATTTCAGAAATTATCAAAGATGATAGCAAACAGACCCTGTGTTTATGTTACTCACAAAACAATGTTCACAATATTGCTCTTTCTTTTGCTCTTTCTCTGGCCTTTTCTAATTGGTTTTGCATCTGGATGGTCTCAGTATTGCATGGCAAGGGAGTCTGTCATGCTATATCCTTGCTTTTTCCCAGCATTCTATAACAATTCAGACATTTCTTAATATTGGACCTCTGAGTATCCTTAGAATATTTTTCCTTTCACATTGTTTTTGGTTATAGTGCTTCCATTTGACACAAAACAGGTAGTTCTACAGAACATAATAGTAAATGCAGCATGAATTTTAGATTTAAAAAGATCTATGTTTTAATAATTGCTCTGTTTCGTATAAACTGTGTGGTCTTCAGCAGTTTATTTACATTCTCTAGACCCTGATCCCTCATCTGAAAGTTAGATAATGATAGCTCATAGGGATTTTGTGTTGATTAAAGGAACCATAATTGATATTAACAAGCAGTACTATAACTTAGATTTTTAAAAAATCATATGCAAATTGAAATATATTCTTTTAAATTATTATGTATTTTAAAACCCAATAGTTTGAAATTGGGTTTGATCCCTTAATTACAGTCTCATATAATAATATTCTATGTAAATGATTTTTAGTAGTAACTATCCAGTAACTTTTTTTAAAAAAAAATACCTATAGTTGCAATTATAGTTACAACTAAATCATGTTGCTGACATAACATTTTATCTTTTTATTTTTCAGGTTTATGAAAATTCACTCAGTTGCTATACAATTATTTACTCAGAACATTATTATAGCTGTGTGACAAAAAACATACAAACCAAAGTTTCAATAGGTAGAGAGGAAAGCTGTGGAATAAATAGTTGTGTGGGCTTTTTGCCCTGAAATTATTTATACTTTTGTCGAAAAACCAGTAAATATGTAAAGAAATTTGTAAGGAAATTTTGTAAAGGAATTTCAAGTAAGATACTGACATTATGATAAAATAATATTGACTCAGCAGAATGCAACAACAGCAACACAAATAATCCCCCAAATAAAATAATATAGTTGAAAATATTTATATATTAATTTTCCTTTTGAATAGTAATATTTTTATGCTTACTTTTTATTTTACTTTCATTTTTACTATATAATTATATATCAAAGTTCAATAAAATTTTCACTGCCTTCCATCATTTCTTTCCTGGCAAGCATTAGTTCATTTGAATTCTTGATACTTAATGAAAATAATTTATAGAGGAAGGGAGAGGTGTTAAAAATTATTCAATAAAGTTGTCAAATATATTGAGTAAGAGGTTGATAGTTTTGAGTAATAAATAAAAACTGCTCTTTCTTCAAAAGATACTATTATGACAGTGAAAAAGTAAGCCATAGACTGGGGAAGGATATACACAAGTACAACTGATAGGGCAGTTATAGCAGGAATAATAGGAGACTCCTCAAAATCAGCAAGAAAAGAATAACTCCCAAGGGGAATTGGCAAAAGACTTGAACAACCAGTTAAAATGGGTATCCAAAGGGTCACTAACTATTTAAAATTAATGCAACTTACATTCCCAATGAGAATCCAACCAGGATCAATAAAATTAAAAGAACTGACAATTCTAAGAGTTGATGAAGACATAAAGCCAAAAGGAACTTCAATACAATCCTATTGGCAGGGTAAATTGCCACAGCCACCTAGGAAAAGTTCTAAAATTGAGCATATGTATTTTCTATGGCCCAGCAGTTCCACTCATACATAAAACAACACATGTGTACCAAATGCTTATAAGAATATCATAGTAAATACAAAGTTACTCATAACAGTAAAAATTCATAATAGTCCAAAACTGGAATTAACCTACAAGCCCATCAACAGTGGATTTAATAAATTTGAATATACTGGAATACTATACAAGAATGAAAGGTAATGAACTGCAGCTACAAACAAGGAGGCATCTTGCAATCACAACAATCAGTAAAAGAAGTCAGAAATTAAACACATGCTGTCTGATTCTTTGAATAAAAGCAGATTAAACTATAGTCCTTGAGAATTCCTATTTATGAGGTATCTTCAATGAAGCAAAGCAAGGGAAGGTATACTATTAAAGGCAGGACAGCATTTATCTTTGAAGAGAAGGACATTCGGCTGGGAAAAGAACACATGGAGAAAATGGTGTTCTAGAAGTCAATTCACTAGCATGAGTGTTTGCTTTATAATAATCCAATGAGCTGTACATCTTTTATTTTGTGTACTTTATGTGTATTTTATTTCACAGTAAAATGTGGGGTCCTTTTCTTCAAAAGATAAAAATATTTTTGGCTTGGTATTATTCTTTGCAACACTGACTGAAAGGTGGATGTGACTCTAGCATCCAGGGCAGTGAGAGTTTTTATGTAAACAACAATTAACTCATCAGTCAACAAAAAACCAAAACCACAACATCTGTAAGACATCAGTGGACAAATGAGCTCTATGACTGTCTTTCATGTTAAATGTCTGAGAACTAGAACAGACTTAAACTTTCCAGCCTTCTACAATCTAATGTCTAGGGTATTTGAAGAAAAGGTTATAAACAGTTTCATCTCAAAGCATCCTACCACCCCAACTAAACTGGCACAATGTCTTATGAGTCCCTTGGCTGGATGCACAGAGTTATACCACAGAGTTGTGTGTAACTACAATGCTAAATGGTGGGATATGACACACTTTGATGCATTAAACACTGCTTCTTAGTGGATTAGAGTTTCTTTATAGGGCCTTTCAGTGAACCATGAAAAAGTTGTTGGTTCCATTCCAATTTAATTTGTGAAGCCACTTGCACCACTGATGCAAGAGAACACGTTCTAGAAAATAAATTCTGTATTATTCTGTGTCCTTTCTTATCTCCAATAGCTTATTTCTTTATTAGTAAGTAAAAGATCATTTTCAGTGATTAAAAATAGCAACCCTGGAATCCCTAAATATATTCTTGCTTTTTGTCATGAAAAAAGTTAACAGTGATAAAGACAATTCTAAAATTTGACAATAAATTATAGAGATTCATATGGGAAATTTAAAACTAAGTTTTAGTTTTAAAGCCAAAAATTGTAAACTAAAAGTTTTAACACTGAGTTTAGGAACTTAGAAGGTGATTGCATTTTAAATAACACTTAATCCCTAAACAACAACAACAAAGAAAGTACAAAAATAAGGCTGTAAAATGAAAACTAAACATAAACTTTCTGCAAATATTAAAAACATAGAGAAGTGAAAAATACCCTACTTTCAGTTTTCTGTTCGCGAATAGTACATTTCAACATTTTTAGACAAGACCTTCGACCTATAACCCAAAATGGGACAACATTTCTGAAACGAGAAAATAGCTATATGAACAATAAGAAGGAAATCATTTGCTAAGCAAATGGACAAATTGACAAATAAAGGTCTTTTGGAAATAACAACAAAAGCTTAATTTTGCTTTAATGTATAAAAATTTAGTCAGTCTTAATACAAAAATATATATTGTTTTAATATTGTAGACTAACAAATTCAACAGCTAAGTCAGGCCAGCTGGATTCAATGTATTCTCTATTACTTGATGAAAATGATCCGGTCCTTCCACCATCATTGCCGGGATCGACCTCATAGCAGTTGCTGGGTTCCTGCCCTCTCTCTGCTTGCCCTATGCTCCCTGTTAACACAGCTTATGCCTGTCAGAGCATTGCTGTAGTGTCCTAATCAAAAAATGTTTTACATGAAATGAGAAGATCTCATTTTAAAATATTTTTTAATGTAAAAGGAACATTCAATTTTTATATTCTTTTTATTATAAATTATCTCAATCATAAAAATCAACATGACTATATTATTCTTTCCGCCTGTTAGCCTCTGACCAATATTTCAAGCCTGATATTTTCTCCATTTTCAGCTTTGAAAATCTATTATCACTCGGCCTAAGTGGGTTACTAACCCAGTCATCTTCTAGTCCTGCATTTAAGTGACTATTAGGACGTACTTTATGAAGTTTCAAGTGACCCTCTATTCTTTCTCATATAAAATATCTATACGATATCAGTGGCAGTCAGATACAATTCCTAGGGAAAAGCTACTGTATTTTCTCCAAGGTCATAATTGTACTAGAACATCCAAGGGCAATGTTTTCAGACTGAATTCTAGTTTTTCCCTGAGACATATAAAAGAGGATTGATAAGCCTATAATTCAGGACCCACTTACAGACTTATAGGAAAATTATATATTTATAACGTTCCTGATAAAAGAACATAGGTCAAAGTCAAAAAGGAAACAGAAAAGTACCAAGTAGAAGAAAAATCTCTAGCTGCTTCTTGACTATAGAATAAATTTCTTGGAATGCTAAAGTGCACTTGACAAGAATACTGAGGGCGTGGGCTGATAAGCTGCCACAAGATGCATCTGAGCATCATGGGAAGTCCTCTATGAGTGCTGAATGGGCTGAAGTGTTGCACTGAGAGAACGCTTCCTGGACTTAGAGAATAAAACAAATTGGTAACGTGTAAAAGTTACATATTAAAGGGATCTCTTCACAATGCCCACGTTATAGGTCTGCATATAATTTTTCAGCATGGAAGTTTTCTTGAAGCTGTTGCGTTTGGACTTACAGATATTATACACAGTTCTCCGTGAATATCATTTTGTCTCATGTGCCACACTCTGAATCATTTGAAGCACAAGGACTTGACTTCAGGAAAGATTTCCCCCAAAGACTTTTATCACCTTTTAAGAAAAATTTCACCCAAGATACCTTTAATATGAGGAAAACTAAGCCACCAAATGTGACCTCTATTTACCTTCTGTCTGTCTCCTTACCTTAATCCTCACCAAACCCAACTTCCTCTCTCATCCCGATCCCTTCCTCCAGACTAGGAAATGGCTAACCTTCTCCTTGCCAAAGCCAACCCCTCCATCTTTGCCCTCAATAACATCCATTCCCATCTCTTCAGGAATCTTATGCCACCAAGTATTCTCTGTTGCTCCTTTCCACTTCTACTTGTACCTTTGTTTGTCCTCATAAAGCGCTCAAGATTCTTTCATTCTAAAAAAAATCTTTTGGCTGCATATGTGTATTCTTCATCAATATACTACCATCTCCTTCATCTGTTCATCTAAATTCTCAAAAAGTTGGTGTCTCACTATTTCTTCCTTACATTTTACTTTTAAATTGGGTTTTCCAGCTTTCTGCCTTTAAAAATATAAAAATTCCTCCTAATTGCCCATTCCAGGGGAAACTTTTTATTCCTTTTTTATATTATCATATTATAATGCATTTGACTACCCTTTTAAAACATTCTACCCATTGTTTGTTTGAACCTTGTATTTTTCTGTCATATTTCACTGACAGTTTCTTTTTAGGTTTCTTAAATCCTTGCCTTAGGAAGAGAGGATTAGGTAAATTATCTTCAAAACTCAATTGAAAACTGCTAGGTTTTATATGAAAGACTGAATTTTTTTAAATGTGGAAATGTGGTCCTTTGGAGGGGGGAGTCATCAGATATAATGAGTTATTTCTGTAAAACAGTTATGCTTATGTCCCCCTGAGTAAAGCCACCTGAGAGATGTCTATTTCAAGAGGTAATAGAGCAACTGTCAGATGGATGTGGACTTTGATGCTTTGAACTACAGCATCTGTCACATTTTTAAACATCATTTATTCTCATCTCCCATTTTTCCATTGGAGTTTAAAATGAGCCCTATCTGCGAGATAAAAAAAACCAGAAGTGTATTTGAATTTTGTTCTGAATGTGAATAGAACCAGTGCCCACAATCCAAGGTCTCCATATTCCTCGGGCTCACATTGTCCCATTAGATGTGATTGCTTCTTCCCTGAGCTGTTATCTTCTGCAGGGGGTCTAGGAGAACCTGAGCATAGTTGTCCCTACTAGATCTACTCCATGGATGAAGAGTAGAAGAAAAAAAATAGCTCTTTTTTTGTACCACAAAGCCAGTCGATATTGTGGCCTGCTCTGGAAATTAGCCAATACCCATGCACAAGAACTGGCACTGGTCAGAAAGCCACAGAAGATGAGCCTTTGCTCCCCTGGCAGTTCTTGCAGTGTTGCTGGCTTCAGGGTTTGCTACTATTGTGTTTCCAGCTGGCATGACTGCAGGCGTCTTGCTTTCACGAGCTTTTACCCCATCCATACATTAAGAATGGGACACACTGTACCCCAAATCACTAACACCAGGAAAAATGCCAATTTCAACATTTAAACAGTTTCATACTTTGCAAACGTTGTTTGCTGATGATTCGATATTTGCAAAAACAACAACAACAACAACAACACCTTATGTTAATCTTAGTAGTCAAATCCAAGCCTTAGGGCTTAACTAGTGACAGATGCTCTTTCGCATGGTGGTGCCTGAGTTAAATAATTTCGCTGAATAAGTTAATAGGTAAGTGATTATACCTAAATTAAATAAAAATTGAAATTTATATTAAAATATACATAGAAATGTGTATTAAAATACATACTAAATATATGTATATTTAATGTGTATATGTATCCATATATATAGATCGCACACTTTAGATAAACTGAAACGATTATTCAAAAAGCCCAGATATATGCCTCATTTTCCCTGAAGAAAGTACTTGGTTTCCAAGAAATTTATGCTTCAGCAGCTCTTGTAGCAATAAATAAAAATCTGAGGGACAGAATGTGATTCAGAGATATCCGGAGTCTACAATTTATTCCCAAACAGAAGGAGTCAATATAAATCCTGTGAATTTCATTGTCTGCTGCCAGAAAACCTATTTAATTATGAATAAGAAATGCTTAGAAATGTTCCCTCTTTAGGGAACACAGTCCTTATTTGGAACACAAGACCTTGTAAGCCCTTTAAAAATTACCCATTGTAAGTACAACACTGTCATCTTAGTTCATCATTAGGGAACTCTGCAACTGGAATAACTCCAGACCTTCTTAGTATATTAGAAAGATGGTCATGAGAACACATTGAGGTTTCATTGAATTCTCAGAGCTTTTTGTTACATGACCTGTTTTTAGTTATTCTTTTTACTTAGTTGGTTTGATGTGATTTCCATATTATGAATTGGATCCAGATGTTCAAATAGTAACTTAGACACACACTTTAAAGGTGTTTTTACTGTAAAAATAATGTCCTCTAAATATATTAGCCTATTATAAGAGTCAAAGTAATTAAATTTAAAACACAATAAAACTACAGAGGTAAAATATATTTTCCCTTTATGACCCAACTCTCTAGGTGTATTCCAGAAGACCAAGAAGTTCCTCAGCTCTGCTCATGTTTGGGCCGTTAGAGTAGCGCAAAGGTGAGCCTGTTCTTACTAGACACTATTTGATAGATGGGTTAGTTGACCTCCATGACAAGAAATATTTTGCATGAGTTTAAATCAGTACTCAGTATATAACTTAATTAGGATGTGTTCAGTCTCTACAGAATGTGTTGAAACCAAAAGAACTTCTTAACTGGTATGCTACAGTGTGCCATGAGTAGGTTGCAGGTAGATGAGGTGCTAATCATAGGCACTGTAAAACTGGCCAGGAGGGGGTGCCTGAGGCCACTGAAGTCCTTGAGCAACTTGTTTCTGTCTGAGAAGATTCTGCCCTGTGTACTCCAGTGTTCCATACAAATATAACTCTATATGTAGCCATATGTGTAAAGATCGAAAAGCAGTAGCTCAATAATAGATGTTGAATTTTCACTAAAGCAAGCAAGACATCTAAGGGCAAGCTTTCCAAAATTTGTTCCATGGCTCAGTAGTGTCATCAAAGACCCAATCTCATTTCATTCTTCTATTTCAGCATTCTCAGCATGCTGACATTTGTCTCCAGGCTGGTCACCTCATGGTTGAAAGATGGCTGACAAAACTCCAGGTTTCACATTTTTAAACGGGAGCAACTGAAGCAGAAGTGAGGGAGATATTGAAAGAAATCATTTCTCATGTGGCCTTCATTTCTTTAAGGGAGGAAAACCCTCGTGAAAGTGATCTCCTATACTTCTACTTATGTAGTATTGACTAGAATGGTGTTACTTTCATGTGGACATTGATGCAGGGGGATAGGATTACCATAAATAGCTTGGACATTCATGGCGTGGGCATACTGCCACCTGAATACAATAAAACAGAAGTGCAGTTAGCAAGAAATATAGGAGAATGACTGCTAGGTAAGCAACAAATAGTGTCAGCTATTGAGAGATTTATCAAAAGGAAATAATGTTGTTTATAATTTTAAGAGTCATAACCACTTGCAAGTTAAAGGTAATATATAATTTCTCAAGTCTAATTAACCTCTTCTCAAGCCTTCAACTCTATCTGCTTCAGCTTTTGTAAATAGCAAATTTAGGGTCTTCATTAATGTAGAAATACAGTTGAATGTATATCTGTAGCCACAGTTTCTTAGCCTCAGTTTCTGTAGCCACAAAGTGAGAGAAAATATTTGCCAAACAGATACCTGATAAAAGACTTTGATCTAAAATATACAAAGAAGTCTTAAAACTCAACAATAAGAAAACAATTAAAAAAACTCAATTAAAAAAATGGGCAAAACTTCTGAACAGGCACTTCACCAAAAAGATATGTGGATGGCAAATAAACACATGAAAAGATGCTCACCTTTTGTTATCAATGAAGTTAAAACGACAAGATATCACTACACACCTACTAGAATGATTAAAATCCAAACAACTGACCATACCAACTGCTGATGGGGATAGAGAAAAACAGGATTTTCACTGCGCTGATGGGAATGAAAAATAATAGGACAACTTTGAGAGACAATTTGACAATTTCTTACAAAGCTAAGTATAATAGACTTACGTAATCCAGCAATCATGCTCCTAGGTATTTAACCAACAACCAATGTAAAAACTTGTGTCTGCACAAAAATCTGCATGCAAATATTGGTAGCACTTTTATTTATAATCACCACAAATTAAAAGTGACCAAGACGTCCTTCAAAAGGTAGATACACCCTTCGAAAGGTGGAACAAAAGGTATGTTACATCCATACAATGGAATACTATTTAGCAGTAAAAATAAATGACCCATCAAGCCATGTAAAAACATGGCTTGATTTTAAATGCATATTACCAAGTAAAAGAAGTCAGTCTGAAAAAGTTATATACTTTATAGAGACAGTCAAAAGATTAGTAGTCACCAGAGGTTTGGAAAGGGGGTAGGATTAAATATAAAGAAGCACAGGGGATTTTTTAAAAGGTGAAGCTATTCTGTATGATACTATAATGGTAGAAATGACACTATGCATTCATCAAAACCTACAGATCCTTACAGTACCAAAGGTGAACCTTAATTTATGAAAATTAAAAAAAACCATTTAGGAGTCAAGGAGTCCCAGGAGAGGATGCAGACTGTGACAATATATATATCTGTGTTATGAATGTATGAAATAACTTCACTGATGGGTATTGGGTAAAAGGTGATGCTCTGAGTAACTTAAGAAACGGGTAGAAACTGTAAAACTAAAGACAAATAGAATGGTACATAAGCACTGTACTCTAGTGGATAAAGGTTATTTTTCCCATGGAAGTACAAATTGTTTATGTATATTGAAAATGAGCAATTAAGTGCATGGCAAATGGTGGGAACAAGGTGTCTCACTGTTGCACTAAGAAGTTACAGAGGCCGGGCGCGGTGGTTCGCGCCTGTAAGCCCAGCACTTTGGGAGGCCCAGGCAAGCGGATCACAAGGTCAGGAGATCAAGACCATCCTGGCTAACACGGTGAAACCCCATCTCTACGAAAAATACAAAAAATTAGCTGGGCGTGGTGGCAGACACCTTTAGTCCCAGCTACTGGGGAGGCTGAGGTAGGAGAATGGTGTGAACCCAGGAGGCGGAGCTTGCAGTGAGCCATGATCGGGCCACTGCACTCCAGCCTGGGCGACAGGGTGAGACGCTGTCTCAAAAAAAACAAAAAAAAAAAACAAAAAAAAGAAGTTACAGTTGTGCAAGAGGAGAAGACTAGAATGATCCATGTGGTAATGCATTAGAATTGGAGGCATCAGTATGTTGGGGAAAGAAAATATTTTTTCTTCCCACTTTAGGTTCATGGCCCAATCCCTAAAAGCAAAGGACAGATGAACAAGAGAAAAGCATACAATTTATTATATACATATTATGTTATATGAGAGATTTCAGAAATGAAGACCCGAAGAAACAGTTAAATGTGTATTTTTTTTAAATAGTAGGTCTGATGAAAAAGTAGACAGTTGTGAAGAAGTATGATTGGACAGAGGAGGTATGATCTAATGGTAATAAACTGAGAGGAGCTTAGTAAGACCAGTTTGTTCCGATTCTTCTCTGTTTCCTTGTCTTCAAAGATAAAGATGCTTCTATCCTCTGGATAAATGGAGGGCACCTCTGGAATAAGGATCTTATAACCTGCTTCATGGGAGAAGGGTGACGGGAAGGTGAGAGTGACTTTCTTGCTTCCGCTGTTTTTCTCACATGCCCAGGTATCATATTTTGGGAAAGCATGCCCTGTACCCCATTAGATATGAACTGATATTTATCTTAATACAGATACATACAAAAGTATTTAAAAGTATGCGTACATACAAAGGTTAGTGTGCACACATATATTTCCTTTCTCTGCCAACGAAAAGGACCTAGAAGCAAAAACACCCTAGTAGCAATAAACATACCTAGTGCCCAGATTTTGGTTTCTAATACCATTCTTCAGCATAAGAACCAAGGCTTCTTAGAGAAATGGATAATTCTATGGCTGGGGAAGAGCATATACTAGATGAGTCCAGGACACCTTGTAATGCTAGAAGTTAGAGAAGTGCTCAAAAACATTAATAATTACATTGATGGATGTATGTCAAAGGGACGGGAGCCAACTGAAAGAGTTTCTAATGGCTAAAGCTGGAAGTATTTGAACAATAACATTTAAAAGCAGTACTAGATTATAGTCCAAAGTATAAAATACATATGAGCCCATACTCATACACATCAACAATTAAATTAATAAAAAAATGCAGAATTCCAAATAATTATGTAGGTACTCCTACAATTCCACAAACAAGCAAAATACACAATCAAAATCAATAGGAATGCCAATGGCTACATTCTATTATATCACACATAAATTTGGAAGTGCTTAATGGATTCCTCAGTGAATAAGGTAACAGTTTTAAAATTCTTTTTAATGAAGCCATTTTTTGGGATATTTGGCTATTTAGTTATACTGAAACTTAAAGAAGGAACAATGCTGCTTCATTCTAACGAACAGTAATATCACCTTTACTTTTCTCTCAAAAGCATTATACTTTTCTCTCAAAAGCATACAAAATAGGGGTAAATGGGAGAAGACTTTACACCTGCTATATTGTTCACGTATTTTAAAATAATACTTTCAGCTCCACAGAACTGTGTGCTCCATTGAGAAACCCTAACCAAGAAGCATGCGTGTAAGCGCTAAGCATGTCATCAGTTTTCAATTCAAATAAAAGATCCGGTCTGCCTTCTTTTGAAAAGGACCCTGATGGAATGGACTGGATGAAAATGTTTCATGACTCACCCCTCTAAAACTGGAGGCCTATGTTCTCAGGGGACTGCAAGGCCACTTATGAGACAGACGTGGCCCGACATAGAACAAGCTGTCCAGAACTGGAGCAAGGACAGCCAGGGTCTAATCCTGTCCCTTTCATTTCCTAACTCACAGTTTCACCTTGAGCAAAAATTTTTAATTTTGTTGGTTTCTCATTGGAAAAATGAGGTGTGGAATCAGATAATATATGAAACTAATGGAACTCAGAAATGCTGTGTGTATGCTTTCTTCCTTTGAACAGCAAGAGCTAGGGTTGGGGCATTGTCCCTGCAGGTCTGGCTGCTCTGACCCTTGACCTCTGTGCAAAGCTGCAAGGCTTACAATACAGACTTGGAGAGGCCCAGCCCGCCTTGAGGGAAGAGGAAATTGTCCAGGAGCAATTGTTTCCATATGCATTTCCAGAGCTGAAAACACAAGAGCGCTTTGGAGCCAGCAGGAAAGGGAAGCAATTTATCCTCTTTCACATCCTTCAGAAGCTTCCTGGGGAGTTCATGCCCTTGGTCTACCAACACCTTTCTTAGTATTGATTCTTGAAAGGAAGTCAGAAGCCACCTTGAGAGTTAAGGGCACTTAATTCTGAATTTCACTATATAAACCTTGTTTCGAGGCATAGTTTGTAAACCAATCTCTTGGTTCAGAGGTTTAACAAAACCTGTTTAAATGGAATTTGAAATACTAATTTTGCCTTTGATATTATTGGGCAATGCATATTCACATCATAGACAACGGAGTGTGTGGGGTTCTTGTGTTTTGCTTTGCCACAAGTAATATTCATCCTGGTAACAATTTTTGAGGCTTTGCCTTTTGTATTATTTAGTCCAATTGCAAATCATCAGGTAAAAAATGAGCAATGCTGTTTTTTCTTTTGCTAAAGGGTGTAAGTGTCCAACCAATGTCATGTCTCCTATAGATGGAGGAATGTTCACTTTTTTTACCTTTCTTTATATTCTTTTCCTGGACATAACTATTTCAACCCACTCCCACAAACCACAGGTTTATATGTATACAGAAAGGGAGAAAATTGAATTCTTACAAATGACATTTTACAAAATATCTCACAATATAACCATAAATGTGCAGAAAAGAATCAGGCACCGATGGCCATGATGCCCTTCTGCCCCCTACTATTTTTCCCCGCACCTCAATTACACTGATTTTGATTGCTATTTAGGAAATTTATTTTTAGTGGTGACTGAAATCCACAATTATGTGCTATAAATTATGTTCTTTAAATCCATAGCTCTTTTCCTTATATCTCAGGATGTCACCAAGAGTTCTGGCTGTTCCTGTCCCCAGATTGCTTTCACGGGCCCAGCCTAGGATCAGAAGGTCAACACACCGCTTTCTCCTTTGAAGACATGCAAATATGCCACCTTGCAAAGATAACTAGGATGTCCTGCTCAATATCCCAGATACGAACAACTGATCGGTACAGAACAATAAATTACACGGTTGGAGGCAACAAAACCTGTGTGATTTTGTGAGAACATGTCTAAAATTGTGGTGCGGCTGTTTTGCAGACTAAATGTATCTCAATAGGAAACAGAAAACCAACGGGTTTTTTTCTTCAACTCAAGCTTGAGAGTAGACTACCCAGTAACAATGTCCAGTACAGGAAAGGACATTTTCATCATGTACATGTTGGAGATTTTGAGGCTACCATTTCGTTGCAGCACAAACGTCTTTAAGTAGATAAGTTACTCAACTGTCATAACAATTGTTCTTTAGAAATTAATGAGAAGGTACTGTGAACTTTGTATGAAACAACCAGTGTCTTATTAGGAAAAGCTTGTCACAACAAATAAAGCACTAGAATGCTGTAAAAACTAATATTTTTTTAAAAAAAAAAAAACAGAAAACATCAGAGCTGAAATATTCTGATGTGTAGCATACAGTATTCCAGTGTGTTATACCCACTAAACCTCTTCTTTTGAACAGGTTGCTGGAATAAATCCCAAAGGAGCAAGACATCACTGAGGAGGATAGGAAGCCAAAATGGTTTCTGCCAATATCTGGGGAATGATTCTTTGAGAAGGCTGCACATTTGCCACTGAGCTCCTCGGAACCCCTGGGATTTAGAGAGCAGATGTAACAAGGCGTAGCATTCTACAACCTGTAATAAAGGAAAACCCAAGTCTTTTTAATATATTTTAAACAGGATGTTACTTTCCTAGATTGAGCATACCATTTACCTTGAGAGGTACACTGTTCCCTCCTGAAAACAGACCGACAACATAGGGCTGCTGAGAAAAGAGGAAATCTGGCTTCACAACTAGAGAATCGGATTACCTTATCAGATGTCTATATATATATTTTTTTTGTCTTTTGGCTCTTTACATGACCAAAATCATGTCTTAGAACTGGATTATCGACATGAGACTAGCAACAACCTGATTCTGTTGAAATGGCTCTCAGAAAGAGTTGTTAGCTACCACCCTTTGGAGAGCTGAGTCTTAATGAAGGTGAAAATTAAAAACTACTGATACAAGATAACATTCGTTGAGAGATTACTTGGGTCAAATATGTTTTTATTTACTTGAGAGTTACTGTTAGCCAATTCACCAGCTCCCTCATAAATACCTGGATTCAGGGACTCAAATATTATTTCGTTAGTACTCAAATATTAACTTTCTCTCTCGTGCGCTCTCTCTCTCTCTCTCTCTCACACACACACACGCATCCTGCCCACACATACCATAAACACGTCACAACGTGATGCCAAGTCCAAAGGCAGTTTCTACTTCTCTAAAGAAATCCAGAAATAGAGGTGCCTATGAGTTAAGTATACTAAATGGTCATACTGTGTTATTAGCAATCCTCTACATTACCATAAGCATTGAATTCATCATAATTATGTTTTATTTCTTGAAAATAAAAAAAATTCCAGTGCATTCATTAACGTGCCGGCTTACTAATATCTAAATGCAATCATTATGCAAAACTATTTCAATTATTTTAAAGGATGCATTCAGCAAAAAGTGAAACTTATTTCTGGGTTCCATTTGAAATGAAATGTCATTATTTAAACATAAATAACCAGAGGCAATGTTATTGATGAATTACACTGTATGGTATGTTTCAAAAAGTGAAAATTAACAGAAATAATTTTAAATGTGTTCTTTATATTTGTCATTTGAGATTTTCTTTTGTTGAGACAATGCTATTAATTTCTTAGTCTTTATTGTAGTTAAATTAATGACTTTATTAGGGCATTTTCAAAGGCCAATCACAAAATTAAGCAAAAATCAGATATAATTGCTCAAAAGCTCTGAGAAATCACGAAAGGCTGGATTCATGCACTCAAATGTGTTGTCATCAAGTCTTTGAAATTCTGTCTGTCTCTCTCTCTCTCTCATACACACACACAGACACACACACAAGAGATCTACCTATATTTCTATTGAAGTTATTCTTAGGAAAACTTTCCCAGGGTGGCCAGGCTAGCTAGCAAAGTATATTCTGCAGAACAAATTCCAGATATTATTAAGAGTCAAATCAGTTTGGGACATGGTGGGTTAATCAATGTTTATTTCCTTTACTTCAGATTTCCCTGAGTCTTTAATGCAGTGATGCATTTATGAATCTCCAAGAGGGGTAGAAATCATACCATGCAGCAATTGCCAAAATTAATTGCCCACAGAATCTTTTTCTTTTTCTTTTATTGAGGCAGATCCCCTGGCAAGAATGTGATGAAAAAATAAATAAGGGAATCCATAATAAATGACCTCATCAGAGTCACTCTGGACCTCAGTTCCATCATGCCCCTATCTTCTTGGTTGCTTGGGCTTGTTAGTTGAGGATGGTCAACAGGTTTGAAATGGCCTCATCTTCTGAGTCCTGAGGCCTGCAAAGGACATTTGTCCCATCCCAACTACTCCTTCCCTCAGAAGCAGGAGTGTCACAGACCCTCCAGGGCTTCTTTCCTCTTAAGCTCTTGTTGGAGGACTGTGTGTGGGAAGGGGATGTGGTGAGAGAAGGACAAGGGTATGTGGAGAGGGCCTCTGAAGATTTGTGACTCGTCTGCTTGATCTTCCTAATGGAGAACAAGCATTTCAGCTTAACCATTTGGCCACATCTTGTTCACTAAGGCAAACTCACGTCTCATGATAAATTTTAAAATAAAGCATATTGCCATACTGACAATTACTTTATTACCAAACATAGATGCTATGACATGTGTCTCTCTTTTCTCTAAGGGAAAGTTCATCATATATTTTGCAGGAAAAATCCCAGTATACAAGGTAAGACTACAACTTTCTTCATCACAATTAGGTAATCATAAAGAGAATATTAAGAAATTTATTGTATATAAAGACTGAAGCTCTTTCAAAATGAAACAGGAGTTGAGGAGAATTGACTTATCTTTCTTCCTCATAATATCTTTCAATCTGATCAATGACATATTTCCAACAAATTTATAGAAATTCTATATTGAAGATTGTATCTATTTGCATAATTTGTTTATGTTTCTTAGTAAGCTCTAGCTATCTCAGGTTTTTACTTTTTTTCAATTTTTAGGGTAGGATTTACAGTGACTTGTAAATCCCAGCATTTTGGGAGGCCAAGGCCAGAGGATCACCTGAGCCAAGGAGTTACTGACCAGCCTAGGCAACACTGTGAGACCCTGTCTCTACAGATAATTTAAAAATTAGCCAGGCATGATGGCATGTGCCTGTGGTCCCAGCTACTCGAGAGACTAAGGAAGGAGGATAGCCTGAGACCCGGAGGTCAAGGCTGCAGTGGGCCATGACTGTACCACCACACTCCAGCTTGGGTGACAGAGTAAGACTCTGTTTAAATAAATAAATAAAAATTTAATGATGGGATCTCACTATGTTGCCCAGGCTGGAGTAAATTGGCTATTTACTGGCCTGAACATAGCACACTACAGCCTTGAACTCCTGGGCTCGAACAATCCTCCCATCTCAGCCTCCTGAGTAGCTGGGAGTACAGGCTCATGCTACTGTACCCAGCTCTATCTCAGTTTAATATATTTGTATGTAGCTCTGATCTCAGGGATTGCATATGCTTTGAAACAGAGGGTAAGGTACAATAAAGCAAGGTGGGACAGTTAGGTACAGAATTTATCATGAGGGTGACAACTGATTCTAGAGTACCTTTCTGATCTGTGGCTAGCAGAATTCCCTTAGTATTTAGAAGAATTCCTAGTATTCAGAACAGCCTCAAAAATATTTATTGGATTAAATTGAAATTAATGTGAAAGCAACTGAGCATATATCAATATTATAAACCTTAGGCTTTTGATTATTCAAAGCACACTTCTTCAGCTTGGGCTCAGATTCTAATCATGTGAGTTCTCTAATGCTCATTCTCTGTTTTGGATTATGGGCATTCTTTCCCTTAAACTGATGTACTGGCTGATGACTTTCTAGATTTTGTGTTTTCTCACCATCATTACAATTGTTACTATTTTCACTATTTCTCTTGTTGATTTTTAAAGTACTATAACCCCCCAAAAATTAGTTTCTCTTAAGCATTTTGTGTCATAATTTTGGGTGCTTTTCTTCTTCTAATAATAAGTTTCTATTTAAATGAAGTTTTAAATAATACATTGAATGGTCAGGACTTTTTTTTTTTTTTTTTACATTCAAAAATCTAGTGAGAGATCTTGAAACTTTGAGACTCTTTATTGCATTCAAGTAAGGTCTAGAACTTAAAAGCCACCATTGCCATTTAACATAAACTATGTGGTAAAATAATGTGATGAATACATCTCTAGTAGTATTAGGATATGAAATAAGTAAACACACAAACAAAAAAACCTGGGTTTCCTAAAAAGCTAATGACAAATTCACAGAAGTGAAAAGGATGTGTTCCATTTACTTGATATACTACATAATGGCTGTAGTTACGTTTCTTTTATAACTACTAAGTGAGATAGTCAGTGTATCCATACCAATTGACATTTCATGATATGCTTACTGGGGACGAACTGTTCAATACATTTTTTTCTATGTACCTACTCTCCCAGTTGCTGATTCGAAAAGGTCATTTTATATGTGGTCTAAAATTATAGTCCAAGCTTACCTATCAATTCTTGTAAAATTACTTTTGTAACATGTTGTCCCTAATATTTATTCTCTTTAGCACATTTATTTCAAAATCTAGTTGGTATTTTCTTTTTCAGAAATCTACATTTATATTGTAGAGGGATTTTCCCTCCTACTGATTTTAATTCCTCTAAAACATTCCTGAATTTTAATTACTGACTTCTAGTCCTGTGTATACTATTTAGCTTTGATTTGTCACTAGAAATAGGATTATCAGAGGGCTCCTTTGTGAGTCTCGCCATTCCCATTGGAAATGCCCATTTATAGTCCCAGTTTCTTAGATTCTCACTACTCAAAGTGTGTAGTCCTGAGACCAGCAGCCTAGGCACTGACTGAGCATTTGTTAGCAAAGCAAGTTGCCAGGCCCCTTCCCAGACTTTCTAAATCAGCACCAGCATTTTAACGATATCATCATTCGATGACTGTATTTTAAAGTTTCAGAGGCACTGTCTTAGGACATTTTTAAAGGGTCATTAAAAGTCACTGAACAGTTTGCAAATCACCCAGCTTACCACCTACTACTTGGTTCTCAGAAATACTTTTCAGTGTATATTTCAATGCGCCTGCTGTTCTTCCACCCGAGCTCTTAGAAGGGCGGGAACAGATTAGACCAGACCAACAAATTTATCCCTTTCCTATTTCCCTAAAACCACATCAAGTTGAATGATACTGGGATAGCACTCTGTCTTTTGAGGCTTCCTCAAATGGCCAGTTATAATTCATTCAGGAAATAATCTCCAGGCTGTTGTTTTGTTTCTTTTTTGATTGAGTGTTACTCTGCTTTTTATGTTTAACCTGTATTCACTTCAACAACATGTTATTTATGGTTGAACTAAACTCTCATTCTTAGAACTATTTCTTCCTCACTTTCTGAAATCTGCCAGTATGCAATATGCAAATATAAATATTCAAAACAGTGAGGCATGGGGCATGCATTGCATAAAGGGATGGGTATTGGATTGGGGTTAGGGTGCACTGACTCAGAACGAATAGCCTTCTTTACTTCTTCAACTGTTAAATGGACAGCACTACATATCATTCTTATTTATTGATATACCTTCTTTTTTTACTAGCTATAACCTCTATTTAATCAAAGAATCTCATTGCATTAGCACAGTGCTTGGTACAGCAAAGACACTAAAAATAATGAGGTGAATGACATTACTCTCCTTTCATTCTAAACCATGAAGGGTTAAACTATGCGGAGTTAAGCAGAGGTAACATTTTGAAGTTTACAACGCACGCCAACCATAAAAAACCCTATTGCTTTATACCAAAAGACACTTCTGAGATAGAAAAATAAACCTGAAAATAAGGAGTGGAGAAACAGTTTTGTTAATTGCTTGTCCTTGACTTTTAAACACTGACTAACATTACAGCCAGACAGGGAGTAAATCAAGCTCGTGGAAATATCAAGTTTTTTTCTTTAAAAATATAATTCCCTCTCATTCCAAAAAAAGTCACACTGGAGGAATGACACAGACTGTACTTCAAAATACAAGTGAGTCAGCAGACGTCAAATAAAAACACCCACCAGCACTGATGCAGATCTCAAAACCCCCAGCTAATAAACAAGGTTTCAAGGCCCTGATAGCCTCCAGCAGCTGCGAGAACAGAAGGGGGCCAAAGAAAAATGCCTCCCCTTCCTCATAACCCTGTTCTCCAATAGTTTCCAATCTGCCAACCCAGTCAGTTAATTCACTAAAAGCCTATTTGTACGGAGGACAGGAATAAGAACTCCCCCGTGCAACACAACTCAGTGATGAAATTAGAGGAATAAGCAGACTTTCAACAAGAGGTATGTGACATTTCACACTTAGGGGATGTCTTCGGCCAGGTAGAGGCACCATACTGCCTCTTATATTAGCCTTGATAGCGACCAGCTGGAGCTCAGTTCAATTCACACATCGCAAAGTGACAGCACTGGCTTTGGGCTACCCAAGCGGAGCCTTTCACAGCTGGAAAGATTGTAAACCAAGTATCAAACGTACCTACGATTTCTAAGCAGTCCTTTGCTTTCATTCATTTTATCTCCCAAATATGCTCTGTCCCCATAACAGATTATCCTACTAGCCTGTCTAATCACCTCCAAGCATCCACACAAATCCCAAAGATGGCAGTGTGTGTTTTATTGCTCACATTTCTAGTGAAAATCCTGCCTAGGTAGCGGTATCTAAAAATACTCCAAAACTCTGTTGCTTGCTCTGCAGAGGTGTTCTGAAGAGTGATTCTATGCAGTGGAATTCCAGAAGGATTGTTTTGCCTGTTCTGTTCATTAAGGTCAATTAGCTTTGTGTTCATCATCACTCATGATGCTTATTGTGCATAAGTGTGTTTGCAATTCACCCTGGAAAAGGTAGGACAAGAAAGCAGTAACTTGGGTTCACATGACATTTATTCTTCTGTATTGATATCTAAGGTATTACACAAAATGACCTAATTCCCCATTCTAATATTCTTGTGAAATTAAAGGGGAAAGGAACATTTTTCTTTCTTTTTTTTTCGACAGGATCTCACCGTTGCCCAAGCTGGAGTGCAGTGGCATGGTCACAGCTCATTGCAGCCTTGAACTCCTGGGCTCCAGCAATCCTCCTGCCTCAGCCCAAGAAGTGCTGGGAACAGGAGCTAGCTACTGTGCCCAGCCCCTGTACTCACCCCATCCGCCTTTTATAATGCAGGGCGAGTCTGAATCTGTTCCCTTTTTCAGTGTTGTCCTCAATCAGGTGAGTTGTATACCGTCTTTCCCTATATGGTTTACCTATTTCACAGGTGTTAACCAATGAAACCATTCCAAGGGACTTGATTTCTTTAAATAAATTTTTTGTCTTCACTCGTTGCAACTTCTTAACACAGGACATTTTGCCTTTTTTTTCTTTTCTTTTTTGATTTTTTTTGTACCTAGCCCCCTCCCCTCCTCCCATTTCTGATTCTAGATGTCAGTTTACTATGAACTTCTGACAACTTCCAGGCTGTGGCACCTTTGCCCTCTGGCTAAATGCTGCTCACCTAAGTCCATTGAGAATCAGACCTTGAAATTCAACACATGCTGTTAATGAGAAAAAGCTGTTACAGAGACAGGACTACAGCTTAAAGAAAGTTCGAAAAGGAATCATGCAGAGAGCGCTTGCTGTTGTTTGAGTAAACCACATTGCTCTAGCATACTTTTTCAAGAATTAGGACTTTTGTGAATTTAAGAAGAAAATTATTGCTGCTGCCAAAAGAAGGCGTAATAGTGCTTAAGAGAGAAACTTTTCTTTTCAACTAGAGATAACATAAACTTGCATTCAGTTCATGCCACTTTATTCATTTTTAGAAAATACCATCTGCAGTGCAAACAACTTATCTCTTGTATTCTCAGTTGAGTGTATGGCCTATTAATTATGCTGGCCCTGTGTAATCATAATAATTTACATTTCAATTATATTAAGAACACTGAGTATCAACTATTTACATGCTCACACAATGAAGTATCACATAATCCTGGTCTACAAGAAGCTTATAATCCAATGGGGAAGCAGAGAAGCCCACCAGGAAGGGTAATGAAAGCAGGTGGGAGTTTCGAGCTGGAGTTTTGGCTCTGTACTAATATACATGTAATTATTTTAAAATTAATATTAATTGACCAAATTTTGATTAGTTACTCACCCTTTGCCAGACACTAAGAGGATACAAGGTTAATGAAAGATAAGCTATAGTGATGATAGCGGTTGTAGTGGTTTGGAATTATAAGGGACCATTATTCTACCTATCACAAGTGGTACAGGTAAAGGGGAACCATGGAAAGTTATTAGAAAGCGTTACAGGGAAGGTCATCAGTATTTAGTCTGGGTTAGAAGAAGGAAAATTGGAGGCCCCTGGGAATCTATTCTTATGGTCCTGGGGAAGGTCATGGGAATCAATGCTCAGAAAGTAGCTATAGAAAGAGTGAAATTGATTGCATTCTTTTTTGAATTCAGATGATGTCTTGTAGTTTCTGAGAATAAAATTTCTAGCCATACACCTAATACTGATGAGAGAATAGTTGAAGAGTTTGGATTAGATATATCTGGACTTGATTTCTGGTTCTGCCACATAGCTGTGTAACATTGAACAAGATCACTTACCTCTTTAAGCCTCAATTTGCTTGTCTATAAAATATAACCAGTATAATAATATGCATGTTATAGGTCATTTTCAAAATTAGTAGTTCTATAAAAGGTGTAGCACAGTGCCAAACATTTAGCAAGTTCTCAGAAATAATAGATATGATCAGTATCATGCTATAGCTTTTATTCTTATGTGGTGACTTTATAGCATGCATTAAGATGAAACAATGTGATTGGGATAAATCTGTCTTAACAACTGGGTCCTCTTTATCTGTTAAGATTACTAGCCAGAGGATTTGTCTTATGGTTATTCTGAAATCAGTTATGGAGACAACAGAAATCAACAGATAAGAAAGACTGAAGATCAGAGTTGCTTACATGGAGCAAGCCCGTAGGGTGTGAGTTTCACAAACTGAACCAGATGAAACTAAGATCTGGTGGGACTTATGGCCACTGAGGAATGTGTCCCATAACTATTTTTTTTAATTATACGTTAAGTTCTAGGGTACATGTGCACAATGTGCAGGTTTGTTACCTATGTATACATGCACTATGTTGGTGTGCTGCACCCATTAACTCGTCATTTACGTTAGGTATATCTCCTAATGCTATCCCTCCCCCCTTCCCCCACCCCACAACAGCCCCGGTGTGTGATGTTCCCCTTCCTGTGTCCAAGTGTTCTCATTGTTCAATTCCCACCTATGAGTGAGAACATGTGGTGTTTGGTTTTTTGTCCTTGCGATAGTTTGCTGAGAATGATGGTTTCCAGCTTCATCCATGTCCCTACAAAGGACATGAACTCATCCTTTTTTATGGCTGCATAGTATTCCATGGTGTATATGTGCCACATTTTCTTAATCCAGTCTATCATTGGTGGACATTTGGGTTGGTTCCAGGTCTTTGCTATTGTGAATAATGCCACAATAAACATACGTGTGCATGTGTCTTTATAACAGCATGATTTATAATCCTTTGGGTATATACCCAGTAATGGGATGGCTGGGTCAAATGGTATTTCTAGTTCTAGATTCTTGAGGAATCACCACACTGTCTTCCACAATGGTTGAACTAGTATACAGTCCCACCAACAGTGTAACAGTGTTCCTATTTCTCCACATCCTCTCCAGCACCTGTTGTTTCCTGACTTTTTAATGATCGCCATTCTGACTGGTGTGAGATGGTATGTCACTGTGGTTTTGATTTGCATTTCTCTGATGGCCAGTGATGATGAGCATTTCTTCATGTGTCTGTTGGCTGCATAAATGTCTTCTTTTGAGAAGTGTCTGTCCATATCTTTCACCCACTTTTTGATGGGGTTGTTTGTTTTTTTCTTGTAGATTTGCTTGAGTTCATTGTAGATTCTGGATATTAGCCCTTTGTCAGATGAGTAGATTGCAAAAATTTTCTCCCATTCTGTAGGTTGCCTGTTCACTCTGATGGTAGTTTCTTTTGCTGTGCAGAAGCTCTTTAGTTTAATTAGATCCCATTTGTCAATTTTGTCTTTTGTTGCCATTGCTTTTGGTGTTTTAGACATGAAGTCCTTGCCCATGCCTATGTCCTGAATGGTATTACCTAGGTTTTCTTCTAGAGTTCTTATGGTTTTAGGTCTAATATTTAAGTCTTTAATCCATCCTAAATTAATTTTTGTATAAGGTGTAAGGAAGGGATCCAGTTTCAGCTTTCTACATATGGCTAGCCAGTTTTCCCAGCACCGTTTATTAAATAGGGAATCCTTTCCCCATTGCTTGTTTTTGTGAGGTTTGTCAAAGATCAGATGGTTGTAGATGTGTAGTATTATTTCTGAGGGCTCTGTTCTGTTCCATTGGTCTATATCTCTGTTTTGGTACCCGTACCATGCTGTTTTGGTTACTATAGCCTTGTAGTATAGTTTGAAGTCAGGTAGCGTGATGCCTCCAGCTTCATTCTTTTGGCTTAGGATTGTCTTGGCAATGCGGGCCCTATTTTGGTTCCATATGAACTTTAAAGTAGTTTTTTCCAATTCTGTGAAGAAAGTCATTGGTAGCTTGATGGGGATGGCATTGAATCTATAAATTACCTTGGGCAGTATGGCCATTTTCATGATATTGATTCTTCCTATCCATGAGCATGGAATGTTCTTCCATTTGTTTGTGTCCTCTTTTATTTCGTTGAGCAGTGGTTTGTAGTTCTCCTTGAAGAGGTCCTTCACATCCCTTGTAAGTTGGATTCCTAGGTATTTTATTCTTTTTGAAGCAATTGTGAATGAGAGTTCACTCATGATTTGGCTCTCTGTTTGTCTGTTATTGGTGTATAAGAATGCTTGTGATTTTTGCACATTGATTTTGTATCCTGAGACTTTGCTGAAGTTGCTTATCAGCTTAAGGAGATTTGGGGCTGAGACAATGGGGTTTTCTAAATATACAATCATGTCATCTGCAAACAGGGACTATTTGACTTCCTCTTTTCCTAACTGAATACCCTTTATTTCTTTCTCCTGCCTGATTGCCTGACCAGAACTTCCAACACTATGTTGAATAGGAGTGGTGAGAGAGGGCATCCTCTGTCTTGTGCCAGTTTTCAAAGGGAATGCTTCCAGTTTTTGCCCATTCAGTATGATATTGGCTGTGGGTTTGTCATAAATAGCTCTTATTATTTTGAGGTACATCCCATCAATACCTAATTTATTGAGAGTTTTCAGCATGAAGGGCTGTTGAATTTTGTCAAAGGCCTTTTCTGCATCTATTGAGATAATCATGTGGTTTTTGTCTTTGGTTCTGTTTATATGCTGGATTACGTTTATTGATTTGCATATGTTGAACCAGCCTTGCATCCCAGGGATGAAGCCCACTTGATCATGGTGGATAAGCTTTTTGATGTGCTGCTGGATTCGGTTTGCCAGTATTTTATTGAGGATTTTTGCATCAACGTTCATTGGAGATATCGGTCTAAAATTCTCTTTTTTTGTTGTATCTCTGCCAGGCTTTGGTATCAGGATGATGCTGGCCTCATCAAATGAGTTAGGGAGGATTCCCTCTTTTTCTATTGATTGGAATAGTTTCAGAAGGAATGGTACCAGGTCCTCCTTGTACCTCTGCTAGAATTTTTTTTTTTTTTTTTTTTTTTTGCTGGCCACACAAAATGATTGGGGTGTCTGAGCTTGCAGCTCTTTGAAGTAAAGTGTAGTGATTTAGAACAACTTTTAGATTGTCATCTATGGTTAGAAGGATATTTTAATACATCACAAAAGAACATACGTGCTAAAATGTCTCAAAACATTATTTAAAACATGTATATCTCATTGATACTCTTTTATTTTGGTCCATCCTATTTCACTCTATGTCTTTATATTCCTTTCTATCCTATCATGATTTTAATTTGTTATGGTTTCTTCTTAATTTGGTCTCAAGAGTGGCCCTAAGCCCAGACAGCCATTCAGTAGGTGAGCCCTGACCAAAGGAAAGTCAGACTTGTGTGTGACTTGGGTGTGTGTGTCAGGTGAGACACAATGAATGAGGAGGTGAACATAAAATGCATGAGACAGACTAAATTTATTACTCATAGGTCAGAGAGGTTAAGGGTGCCAACAAGAGGCAACAAGAAGTCCAGAAGGTTCAACTACCAGGTGGGGATCTAGAGAGATTGATAGAGATAGACAGAGGTGTTGGGGGAAACCTGTGGGACTATCTCTTTATTAACATCCATCGGTCTACCCCTTAGGCTTTCCTGTGGGACTTGTGGATTGGCTAAAGAAAACCCACGTGAAGGGCGACCTCATTTTCCTGACTCTGGTGTTGACCATTAGGCTTCATCCTGGTTACCAGTTGTGGAGTAGGTTGCATTTTAGGTCAGTGAAATGAGGAACAAGCAGGCTATATTGCAAACAACCACAGAGGGAGAGAAAGTTTTAACATGCCAAAGGTGACTGGGTTTTAAATAACTACGTAGGCCTAAACATAGATGCCAAGGCAGCAAGTATACTTAACAAATTTATGACACCTATCCGATCCTATTCTATCCTATCCTATCCTGCCCTGCCCTGCCCTGCCCCGTCCTGTCGGATCCAATGATATCCTATCCTATCCGATCCGATCTTATCCTATCCTATTCTATCCTATCCTATCCTATCCGATATGATCCTATCCTATTCTATCCTATCCCAGTCAAATAGAATCTAGAGTTATATCTTCTAATTTTATTTCTCTTGCCATCAATAGGCCACAATCCAGTTTATAACTGGTATGTAGCAATGGATTAAAAAATACTTTGGTTGTATTCCCCTTCAAGTAAAAATTTTTGAAAAATCTGACTAGGTATATGTACATTTATTTATTTATTTATTTTTATTTTTATTTATTTCTGGGGGGAGGGAGTCTTGCTCTGTAGCCCAGGCTGGAGTGCAGTTGCGAGATCTCGGCTCACTGCAAGCTCCGCCTCCCGGGTTCACGCCGTTCTCCTGCCTCAGCCTGCTGAGTAGCTGGGACTACAGGCGCCCGCCACCACGCCCGGCTAATTTTTTGTATTTTTAGTAGAGATGGAGTTTCACCATGTTAGCCCAGATGGTCTTGATCTCCTGACGTCACGATCCGCCCACCTCAGCCTCCCAAAGTGCTGGGATCACAGGTGTGAGCCACTGCACCCGGCCGGTATATGTATATTTATTTAAAGTGGCATACATCTACTGATATTAATGTGTTTATTAAATGTCAAGAAAACTTAACTTTTTAAATTTCTTAGCTAAAAATACGAATAGAATTTATAATATTTTTCTTTCAGTACAACATCCTGTACACCATTTGATTAGGTCTAAGGCAAGCTCCTTACCTGACCACTTATATGACTTTGAGTCAGTGATTTAATGTTTCAGCATAGAATTTCTCATCTGTAAATTGGAAATGATAATATATATTTTATATTTTATTGAAATAATTTGAGTAAATATTGCATTTAATGCAAACAATATAGCACTTGACCTCCCCAAAAGTAAATAAAGTTACTTTAATAATTCATATTAATTGAACAAACTTTTATTGACTACCTAGTATGTGCAAAGCACTGAGAGAATATGAAGATCGATAAAAGATTAGATATGATGATGATGATGATGATGAAGTAGAAGATAGACGATAAAGAAGAGAATGAAGAAGAGAAAGAGGGAAGAGATGTTATAAGCTACTAGGCCTACCAATTTATATAAATATAAAATGAGGCAGGATATATCATGTCTTAATAAAGATATATTTGGCATTGTGCCTAACATTTAGTGTAAATAAATATTTTTGAATACATGGGAGCAATTATGGATGAACGAATGAAGGAAGGAATGTGTTGCCGTCTTTGCAATTACCACATAGAAATCCTGCTTCAGTCATTGTCTTGTTACCAGCAGAAGTGACATGTTGCAGACCTCTCTTTAATACTTGGCCATCTAAGATAAAAAGTAAAAGGACCATTGAGTTTTGTTTTGTTTTTTTTTTTTTAAATAAATGTACGGGGTACATGTGCAGTTTTGTTACATGGATATATTGGGTAATGGTGAGTTTTGGGCTTCCAGTGTGCCCATCACCCAAACAGTGAGCATTGTAACCAAAAGGTAATTTTTAAAGGGATTCTTATAGTAATTTTTAAAATTAAAAATGCCACATCACATGTGCATTTTTAGAAAAATGATTAAAAGAGAAAATCATAACTCTGTTTTGAAGGGATCTTTTATTTTCATCAAAATGTTATAGTGAGGAAATAACCATTATTAAACTTCTTTTCTTCTTACTCAGTAATCAGATAAAGGCATCCAGCTTCACCCACAATTTCTTCAAATACATTGAAAATGGAGTTAAATATTTTCACAGGTAAGTCACTTTATAAATCAATAGATGAGACTACTGTAACTATATTACTAGTTCTTTTGACATAAATATTAAAGGGCCATCTTTAAACATATGCTCATTTTTTATCCTGTCTTTCTCACCACTTCTTTTTTATTTCAAAGTCAATAGAAAAATCTACTTAAACAGGTCTCATGTTATTGAGAATCTAGAATTGGATTTCAGATTTACTTTTTGATTCAGTAAATTATGTTTTATCATTCAGAGGATGCAACATATAAGGTGACACATTGTAGCCAGATAGAGAAGTAACATTTTTCAATTGCTATTGGCTGTACTTCTGTTTTTATTAACCCTCTTGCTGGTAAATGTGAATTCAAGCTCTATGGAATCAGATGGGAAATAACAACTTTCTTTAGTGCCATTCAGGCAATAGAGAATGATTTTCCATTTGTGGAAATATCATCTAGGCAATAACCTGCAATGGCAATTTGTCAAGAAAAGAAATCCATCACCAAGCTTGATAACGCTAGCGGAGAATGAAGTATGTGCGTACAGATTCACAGTTACCATTTGACCCTGGGAGTCCCCAGGATTATCAATCATCCTACATTTCTCCCACTTCTTCATTTTCCCACCCTCCTCTCACCCTTCACAAAGAGGCTAGCAGCTGTGTTTTTCCATTCAGCATGTGAGGAGCATGCAATAGCTTTTAAAACACTTCCCCAGATATTTTCTACAGTATAATAATCCTTGAGATTGACAAGGTAGGATCATTCTCTTTCTTCTGTAAAAGATGAAACTGAAACCGTGATTAAGTGACTTGTCTAAGGTCACACATCCAGAAAGAGGCAAATGTGTGGATAACACTTCTTTCTGAATCATTGCACTTTGGAATACACTAATGGTCAATGAGGCATTAGACAGAAAAATGAAAGGGACCAGGAAAACCAAGAAGCCTTGAGCCCGTGAATACTGAGCGTTTAACCACTTTCTTATTAGGTAAGTCATTTATTGTTTTTGAGTGATTAATTGATTTGAGAAACTATATTAGCTGTCTACTGCTACAATAATGTAAGTCTCATTGACGGAGTGGTGGCAGAGTTCCCAAAGGAGGGGCAGAAATGTGGAAGACCTCTGTAGGCCAAGGGTCAGAATTAGAACACTTTTATCGCACTCTATTGGGCAAAGCAGATGAAAAGTCTATCCCAGGTTCAAAGGGTGGGAAAACAGACTCCACCTTTTAATAGGAAAGCTACAAAGTTACACACCAAGGAGTGTGGCTATAGGGTGGCAGTCATCGAGGCCACTTATGCAATCAGAAACACTCACTCATCATCTCCTATATGCCAAAGGTCTGGGAATATAAAGAAGACTAAATTGTTCTCTCTAATAAGTAGAGTTTATAGTCTGGTAAGAGAGACAGACACATAAAGTCATTGCAACATCAAACAATATGAAGAGGGTAGGCAGGAAAATGAACACTTTGATCTACAAAACTCAAGAGTGTAAGACATCTAACGTTTAAAATTTTTCTGTAACATTTAATTTGCCTTGTATATCATTTTAATCCATAAGAAGATTGAATTAGTTCTAGGTAATGAATTAATTCTGAGTTTCCTAAATGTCCTAAATAATTGGCATTGTAATTGGCATTTAGTCATTAAAATCAGGGTTTCTCTATCTCCTCCTTGTCAAAGTTTCAGGGTCTAGGTCATGTTTTCAATCATCAAACATTGGGATCCATAGAGATTGGTATTCCTTGTGGTCCTGACCCTAGATACATAGATCCTTCCACATTCACCAGTGAATTACTGTCTAAACCCAGTCAAATACATGTGACTATGTTACCAATGTTAGAATACAAAATCTAGTGACCTGGAGATTAAGGAAGAAATAATAAAAAAGTATAGAAGTAAACTTTATTTTGTATCAATATTTAATATTGGCTACCAAATATTCTCAAATACCTGTATAATATTAAATATTATATTTATATTAAACATATTAAACATTCTTTTAAAATATGATAAATAATATTAAACCAATATTATAAATATTAAATATTATAAATATTTGATAAAAAATATTCATGGAGATAATATGAATTGTCGTATATTCATATGCATCATTTCAGAGTGAAACGATAGTTATTTTTTGGAAACTTAAGTAAAAATGAGTCTGAAGACAGCACTGAAGGGAAGTTGAAAGAATGTGAATTCCAGCCCATCTTCATCCCTAGCCATGTGATTCTCACAAAGTCATTTCCCTTCTCTGGCTTGTTTCCCCATTCCTTATTGAGAGGGTCAAATTAGATAAATATTTCAGTCCTTGTCATTCAAATCTCATAGCATTTAGGAGACTGAAAAGAGCTATTAGTGGCTGTAGGGAAAGAGACAGTGAAAGAGAGAGACAGAGAGAGAGAGGAGGAGGAGGAGGAGGAGGAGGGAGAAAGAATGAGAATCAAAAGAAAAGTCTATGTAAGCTTACAGAAGGTAGGATATCTGGGGATGATTTGTTTACCTAGCTGAGATGATAGTTTTGAGTGAATAATACATATTTTGATATTACATATGGATGTTTCTTTGTATGAAGGCAAAGTTTTAATAGTCAGAATACTATATACCCCATTACAGTGTGAACATACAATTGTAAAGTAACATAGCTCATTATAAGGATCTTAATTAGTTATATATATATATATATATATATATATTGCTCCTCAATGTAAATATTATTGAAAACAACTAAAATATAGAAAGAAAGGAAGTCACTTTTAGATTCTCTGATAAGAAGCATAAACGTCAACATGTACCAATTTGAAATATTATTATTAGTAATACTTCAAAACATAGTCATGCATCATTTCTAATAGATTTGCAATGGATGAAATTATGGAAACTTTATTCAATACCAATAGATGGTACTTATTGACCATACATGATTGGTCAATTTTAACATTATACAGGTATTTTGAGAATATTTGGTAGCCATAATTCACAATAATTCAGATGAACTAGGCTGTGATTAATGCAGATTTAATGTAATTATAAGTAGATAAACTTTCTAGCTAAACTTGGCAAAAATGGCATTGGACGGGGATTCATAATATTATGGAAACTGATGTGAGTTCTCTGTTTATCTTAAGCAACACAATCTATAATCTCATGCTGAAAAGCATTGACCTTGGCGGTTTTCTGTAACCTTAACCTTGGAAACAGACTATTGCTCATGCTCTAGTTGTCAATTTCTAAATCACACTCCCCTGTGCCTTTGAGATTGACCACTTTTCAAACATCTCTGTTATGTTTTATTTAGTCTGATGTCAGTATCAACCAAGCCAAAAAATGAAAAAAAAAAAAGGTATAAAAGCTAGCTATGAGACATAGATTATACTGGCCAATTTTGTAAAAATACTCATTGTTCTGTTGAGGATAAGGAAAGCCAAGTACATTTTACCATTTCTCGTCTCAAGAAAAGCTAATAATCTAACAAATTGATGCTGCAGATGGGAGCAGCCAGTTAACTGCCACACACAGGGCTGATTCTTCAAATATAAAAAATGTAAACATAAACTCTCCCTCCCACTCGCCACCCAAGGGTAACAATGTGACAAGGGATTATGTATTGACATGTACATAGCAGATGTTGGACAATGATTAATTAAATGTGAATAATTGGCATTGTAAATGTTACTTATCTCTCAGTGAAACAAAATATAACACTTCAACCCTGACAAAAGTCATTTTGCTCTGATTTTGTGGGTTTTATTTAAATAACTGTCATTTGTTTTCTTCTTACTTTTTTCTCCTCTCCTCCCTCTTATTCCCCTTGGTAATTTAGGGTACTCTGTCATGGTCTCAGGTGTTTGTGTCTGTCGGGACCCTTGGCCACTCCAAGTCTGCTGTAGAGCAAACCAAATTGTTTCTGAGTGCCACAAGGGACATGCCTCTCTTAATAAAACAGAAAACAGCATCCTCCAAGGTTTCAGCTAAAAAGAGGCTGGGAAAGAATGGCTGGCTAACACAGCTGAATCTTTTCCCTCCAAAAATAGATGTAGTCTCATACATTTCCTGAAAAATAAAATGGACTGTATTAGTCTGTTCTTGCACTGCTGTAAAGAAATACCTGAAGCTGGTAATTCATAAAGAAAAGAGGTTTAATTGGTCCACAGTTCCACAGACTGTTTAGGAGGCATGGCTGGGGAGGCCTCAGGAAACTTTCAATCATGGTAGAAGGCGAAGGAGAAGGAGGCACATCTTATATGGCTGAAACCAGAGGAAGAGAGAGTGGAGAGGGAGGAGCTACACATGTTTAAACAACCACATCTTGTGAGAACTCACTCATTATCAGGAGAACAGCAAGGGCGAAACCTGCCCAATGATCCAGTCACCTCCCACCAGGCCCCTTTTCCAACACTGAGGATTACAATTCGACATGAGATTTGGATGGGGAGACAAATTGAAACCATACCATGGGTGTAAGTGAATTGGTGGCCCATCCTTCTCCGTGTATCTGTTAGTATGGAAACTGCCTATACACAAATACGTTATTTCAAAAGTAATATCCTCTGAGGGGCTAGTTCAAATTCCCTGGGCTGTGCAAGTAAGCAGATTGCCTCTGCCCTGTGGATCTCACTAAAGGTCTAAAGCCATATGGATGGACAAAAGAATGCTCTTAAGCAGAGATAGGTTAAAGCATAGTAAATCCATAGAATGGATTACAATGCAGCTATAAAAATTCACGAGGTAGAAGAATATGTATTGGCATGCGAAATAGTTAAGCTGTTAAATAACAGTCAACAGGCTTGCATTTTTCTTTTCTCTCCCATGATTTTCTATTCTCCTGATGATAAAAATGAGAGAGAAGGACTTTGGGAGTGCAGCCTGGACTTCTCACTTGAAAGAACCACCGGCAGAGGTTTTGGAGAGTCTGGGTTGCTGTCCCCATAGAGCCTCTGCAGGGAATGGGAGGGGAGAATGAGAACTCAAGAGGCAAATATGAAATAAGCACAGTGGCCTCCAGCAGGCTGTTTCTTCACAAATGGAGACTGGAAGCCCACCCTCACTGGGCCTGGGTCCACATCAGCTACCACCTATGTGGGCACCATCAGCTCATCCAGAAGTAAGTGGTTCTTGAAGACTGACCGTTCTGACTGTCGATAATGGAGGCAGCAGCTCCCTGGCTCTGACAGCTGGCCCCAAACTGATTGCAGTAGACTAAGCAGGCTTGTGAAGTATAATGAATCACAGTCTCCTTCTCTTCCCAAACACAACTTCAAAGTCCAAGTGGCAGATGCCAAGAGCAAATCTGACCATTATTGCACATCTTTTAAGGATGAGGTCCAGCCTCTCTGCAGATAGACTGTTAGAGGCCAGCTGGTCCTCTCTTGCGGACCCCTATCTTCTCCCATGTTGCACCTTCCTTACCTGACCATGGATTTAGCATGCCACTTCCAATGAATCAGGGCAACCTTTACAGAATGGAAGGGAATCAGAGTGGAATTAAAGAAAGGGGAGATATTTAGACCTAATATTGAACATATGTGTAATTTCAGAATTGGGACTGTTGAACAAAAGATTAGTTTGGTTTTCATTGCACTTTATTGAAGTCATTGTTAAAAAAATTGTGAGGAAAGTTTTTTTTAGCTAGAGTGAGACTAGGACCATAAATTTGACTACCGGTGTTAAATAGTCCAGACACAGCTGCCCAGGAAAAGCCAGCTAAGAGGCCCAGGGAAGAGGAAAGGAGTTCACACATCTGGCACAAGTGATTGAAGAAAGCAAGTGTCCCAGTCCAGAGTTAGCAGCAGAAGATGACCATTGGCTGATCTCTCAGTTTGGCACCTACGCAGGGCTTGTGCCTTCATTCAGTCAAGGCCAGAGATACAGGACTGAGAAGGCTGATTCTATGTACTCAGGCAAGATTGTGGGGAGAGGAGGTGGGAACAGCTGAACAACTTAGCAGGAGGAGAAGACTCAAGGTGATTGGAGGAGGCCTTGGCCATCAAAGGAAAGTCAAGACAGAGAAAGTGGCCAAGGTGGTTGTAGGAAAGGAAAGAGAAACAAAGTGGCTCTGACAGCAGGAGAGTAAAAGTGATATCAAATGGAGCCAAGAACTTGTAATTTTTTTTCTCTTCTCCATTAAAAGGGCCCGAGCTGTGAGAGTAAGATTTCAACTGAAACCAGGAAGCACATAGAAATATGTCACAGATGTGAGAACTTCTCCATCTCTGGAAAAGTCTGGGAAAAGGCCCACACCTTGAGCTCCAGGGAAGTTGACCTAGGTCCCTTCACCTGTCCATGCCTCAGCCATGCAAGTAGAGTGAAGAATACGTGGAAAATAAAATCTGAGGAGCACAGGGATTTGAGCTTCCACATGAATTGCCGATGTTGCTTGCTATGTTTTCTTTCTGAAACTTAACCTTAAATTTCTGTTTAGAAACTCTGTTAAAATCACTGTTGTATATTTCAGATATTCTAGTATTTCTGAGTAGTTGGGGAAGGGTGGTTGAGGTGACACAAAAATTTCTTCAATTTATGCAACTTCTTTTCTGGTGGGAGTATTTAAACTGATGTGTCATGGACAAAGGTATTATGCAAGGATTTCCTCATAGGAATGCAAGAAAAGGAATGAGATTTCTTTAATTATGTACAAGAAGTATCAAAGGGGCATTTAAGAATCATGTAGCAATAGGATATGAACATTTGGAATAAAGGGTAAAAATAAAAAATACTCAGGCTAAGTCATTGCACACAATTATGTATTGAATACCTGCTGGATGCTAGAACTATATTGGGTGCCAGTCATACAACATTGAACAAAGTGTGACCTTACACTCAAGGCCTTCAGAGTTACAGGAAAAGACAAGATTATAGAAGACAAATTTAACTACCGTACTTTATGGCAGGTTCTCTTTAAGTTAACAGTATATGGTAGTACAAAGGAAGAGGGTTCGAATCTACCTGCTTACTATGCCTTTCACAGCAATTTAAAAAAAATGAGTAAAATTTCAGTGAGAAATAACAATTGAATAGATTTGATCACGTTAACTCTGAGATGCTTCTGACTTTTGACATCAGCCTAATGAATAAATTCCATTGGACATAACCTATCCAGTCGACTTATTGTTCCTGTAGCATAAAGTAAACTTAAATACTCTTTTTTTGGCCGGGCACGGTGGCTCACACCTGTAATCCCAGCACTTTGGGAGGCTGAGGTAGGCAGATCACCTGAGGCCAGGAGTTTGAGACCAGCCTGGTTAATGTGGTGAAACCCTGTTTCTACTAAAAGTACAAACAAAATGCCAGGCGTGGTGGCTCGTGCCTGTAATCCCAGCTACTTGGGAGGCTGAGGCAGGAGAATTGCTTGAACCCGGGAGGCGGAGGTTGCAGTGAGCCAAGATCACGCCATTGCACTCCAGCTTGGGCAACAAGAGGGAAACTCTATTTCAAAAATAAGTAAATAAATGCTTTTTTTTTGTAGCTGCAGAAATGTATATCAGGTAAGTTTGTAAATGATACAATAGTTTTTTATAATTTAAAAGATGCCTCTGAGTATAGGCCGCAGACTATCATTTTCCCACGCACACCCTAACCTCCAGGAACCTGAAACAGATATTCCTTGAAAACATTCATTTTACATCCATTTTAAAAAAGTCTATTATTATTTATTCATGATGGCTTGCCCCTTTTGCAGCTGAGTTGCTTGAAGCAAGAGAAGAATAAATGTTCTAACCCAGGTTTCAGGTTGAGTATGAACCTCAGCTCATACTTGATTCTCTGTGTTTAACAGAACTATCTTCTTAGTATCATCACCTCTTGCCAGAGCTTTAGAAACAAATGAATGACTTGTTCTCCTATTATTAAGTCCCTTTGATTGCTTTGAATAACTCTCCAGAGCTTTCTTCTTTCTTCTGCTTCTTTCTTCACTAACATTTTAGAAGAAAATGCCATGGAAACAGGTTACTTTCATCATAGACAGTAATTTAAAACTTTAGAAAAATGGTTATTTCTCTGTATAAAATTCACAATGATTAATACATTCTTACACTAGTTCTCTCTCTGTTAAAACAACTTACTAGTCTGAATGGGCCTTTGGTCTAAGGATTATAAGAATATCTTAAACTCCTATTATATACCTCAGGATGATAATAGAAGCCTAAGTACTATATCAACCTGCTTATTATTGTAATAAAGTAACACAAAAACTTACATCTAAAATCTAAAATATAAATCCATGTCCATCAGCAAGTAACACCGATCATTCTGGGGTTGCAAAACGCCAAGGCAGAATGGTGGTACTCAGTCTCCCCTTATCCAGCACACAGCATCAGAGCAGGTAAGATTTGGTAAAGATGGCATTCCATGACCATTGAAATGGAAATTCTCTAATGGCACCCAGAGATATTCAATCCATTAAAATATCACAACATCAAAATGGTCCAAATAATTATTAGATTTTTTTCTACAACCCACAGGTTTCTCATGGGCTGAACTCAACAGCATTTGCCCTCATAAATCAGCAAACAGTGAGAAGCAGCAATGATGAAAGAATCAACAAGAAAGAAAAAGAGTTTTTCTTTCTTCTTTTTTTTATTTTTAGACAGGGTCTTGCTCTGTCACCCAGGCTGGAGTGCAGTGGCATGATCTCAGCTCACTGTAGCCTTGATTTCCTGGGCTCAAGCATTCCTCCCACCTCAGTCTCCTGAGTAGCTAGGACCACAGACATGTGCCACCATGCCTGGCTAATTTTTCTATTTTTAAATAGAGATGGGACTTTGCCATGTCACCCAAGCTGGTCTCAAACTCCTGGGCTCAAGTGATCCTCCTGCCTGGGCCTCCCCAAGTGCTGGGATTACAGGCATGAGCCACGGCACCACCCCCCACCTCTCCCCCAAGGGGTGTTTCAAAAGAAAGGGAGAGAATAAAAAGTTCTACTTAAACAATTTTCAAAGGCATACATCAGGCAATAATTATGACTGCTGGTATAATATGCCATTATATTGAAAAGATTAGGTATTAAATATATGCATCTCTGGTGCTATGCCAAATGCTGGGTGGTTCCTTTCTTCAAATAAAGTAATAGACAACGTAAATTTTAAGACTTGTTTAAAACATCCAGTTATTTTATTACAGCATTTCTAAAGAATACTTTTTGTGATAGCTAGCTTGCTAGATATATAGAGTATGAATCTCATTTCACAATCTCAGTTGTGCACAAAATGTGATATCATAATTTTATGATAATGATTTAATATTTACTTTGAGCTATCATTTCACTAGATGGTAGAAATTTAATGTAATTCTTAAGATTTTGCATTGTGTTGAGGCTACAGGGGGTAGAGGTACAGCCAGTGATGTGCTGGTAGACAAGCACTGGGAGGGAAAAAAGCCCCCTGATTACAGGCATACCTCAGAGATATTGCAAGTTTGGGTCCAGATTATTGGACTAAAGTAAACATCACAATGAAGTTTATCACACACATTTTTTGGCTTCCCAATGCATATAAACCTTATATTTACACTATACTACAGTCTACTAGGTGTACAATAGCACTATGCCTAAAAAATGAATAGACCTTAATTTTAAAACACTATATTACTAAAAAAATACCAATGATCTTCTGAATCTTCAGCAAATTGTAATATTTTTGCAATGTCTTATTCTAAGAGATTTCCACAGCTACCTCAGGGTGGTAGTTCTTGAAGGTTGAGGTGGCTATGGAAATTTCTTAAAATAAGACAACAATAAAGTTAGCCATGTCAGTTGACTCTTTTTTTCCAAACAAGCTTTCTCTGTAGCATGTGATGCTGCTTGATAGCATTTTACTCACAGTAGAACTTCCTTAAAACTTGGAGTTAATCCTCAAAGTCTGCCATTGCTTTATCAACTAAATTCATGTGATATTCTAAATCCTTTGCTGTCATTTCAACAGTGTTCACAGCATCTTCACCAGTAGTAGATTTCATCTGAAGAATCACTTTCTTTGCTTATACGTAAGCAGGAACTCTGTCCTTTTAAATTTTACCATGAGATTTTTTACCAGAGCAAGACTCTGTCTCAAAAAAAAAAAAAAAATTTACCATGAGATGGCAGCAATTCAGTCACATCTTCAAGCTTTACTTCTAATTCTAGTTCTTTTGCTATTTCCATCACATCTGCAGTTACTTTCTCCACTGATATCCTGAACCACCACCTTCCCAAGTCACCCATGAGTTGGAATCAGCTCCTTCCATATTCCTGTTAATGTTGACGTTTTGACATCCATGAATCACAAATGTTCTTAATGGTATCTGTAATGGTGAATCCTTCCCAGAAAGTTTTCCATTTACGATCAAACAGATAAATCACTATCTATGGCAGCCATAGTCTTAAAAAATACATGTTATATATTCTTAAATAATAAGACCTGAAAATTGAAATGACTCCTTGATCCATGGGATGCAGAATGGATGTTGCATTAGCAGGCATGAAAACAAAATTAATCTCCCTGTACATCTTCAGAGCTCTTGAGTGACTGGGCGCATTGTTAATGAGCAATAATATTTTGGAGGAAATCTTTCTTTTTTGAGTAGTAGGTCTCAATAGTGGGCTTAAAATTTTTAGTAAAACATGCTTTAAACATACATGCTATCATCCAGGCTTTATTTCTCCATTTATAGAGCACAGGCAGCATAGGTTTAGCATTTTTAAGGGCCCTGGAGTTTTCATAATGGTAAATAAGAATTGATTTTAACTTAAAGTCACCAGCTGCATCAGCCCCTAACAAGAGCATCAGCCTGTCTTTTGAAGCTTTGAAGCCGGGCACTGTCTTCTCTCTAGGTATAAAATTTCTAGATGGTATCTTCTTCAAATAGAAGGCCATTTTGTCTACACTGAAAATCTGTTGTTTAGCGTAGCCACCTTCATCCATGATCTTACCTAGATCTGCTGGATAACTTGCTACAGTTTCTACATCCATGCCACATTCCTCTCAGTTATGCAAGAAACATTCTACTAGGTGTTGGGAGATTTTATGAGGCTAGCCCAGCCCTAGAGTCATGAATAACAGCATTTGCTGCTTCACCTTGCACTCTTATGTTATGAAGATGGCTTCTTTCCTTAAAACTCACGAACCAAACTCTACTAGCTTCCAACTTTTCTTCTGCAGCATCCTCACCTCCTCCAGCCTTTAAAGAATTGAAGAGAATTAGGGCCTCGCTCTGGATTAGGCTTTGGCTTAAGGGAGTGTTGTGGCTGGTTTGGTCTTCTATCCAGACCACTTGAACTTTCTCATTGTTGTTGTTTCTCCATATCAACAATAAGGCTGTTCTGCTTTCTTATCATTCATGTGTTTACTGCAGTAGCACTTTTAATTTCCTTCCAGAACTTTTCCTTTTCATTTACAGCTTGGCAAAATGGTGCAGAAGGCCTTGATTTTGGCCTATCTGGATTTTCAACATGCTTTTCTCCCTAAACTTAATTATTTCTAGCTTTTGATTTAATCTGAGAGATGTGAGACTCTTTCTTTCATTAGGCTGGCACAAAAGTAATGCAAAAGTATTAGGTTGGTGCAAAAGTAATGGCAAAACCACCATTACTTTTGCACCAACCTAATACTTGAAGCTTTGAACACTTGATGGCCATTGCATGGTTATTAACTGGCCTCATTTCAACATTGTTTGTCTCAGAGACTAGGGAGGCCCCAGGAGAGGGAGAGAGACAAGGAAATGGCCATTTGATGGAGCAGTTGGAATGCCCACAACATTTGGTGGAGCAATTGGAACACCCAAAACATTTATCAAAGTTCACCATCATATATGAGTGCTGCTCATGTCACTCCAAAGTAATTGCAACAGTAGCTGATCACAGATTCACAATAAGAGATATGATTTAAAAAAGTTTAAAACATGGCGAGAATTACTGAAGTGTGATGCAGAGACATGAAGTAAGCATATGCTGTTGGAAAAGTGGCACCAATAGACTTGCTGGACTTAGGGTTGCTGCAAACCTTCAATTTGTATTTTAAAAATGCAATATCTGTGAAGCTCAACAAATCAGTGTGCAATAAAATGAGGTATTCCTATAGCAGTATTTGCCAATTTTCCTAGTGTAAATGCTGCTGTGAAGGCCAATTTAAAGGTGCAGACTTGGAAGAGATGCACACAATCGGCTTCTGCAGGTCAATGTGAACCAGCTTCCACATGCCACTGGCATGTATCTGGTCCTAAGAGTCATCAATCATCCTATTTCCAGCATGGGGTTTGTCAATAGGTCACTCCCACTTGAGACCTCTTCTGGTCTTATACCTCTCTGTTAGTGCCACATTGTTCTCAGTTATGCAAGAAACATTCTACTAAGCATTGGGAGATTTTATGAGGCTGACTCAACCCTAAGATCACGAAACAGACATTTTCTCTTTTCTAGCACTAGGATGGGAACTGAGGAGCTGATGGTTCTATGACTATCCCTCTGTGCTTTCAGATCCTCAAACTCATTTGGGAGTTCCATTGTCTTCCCCATGGGTCTTGGCTGAAGGCAGTGGGACATAGAGGATGCCTGCCAATGTCTCAGCTCTCTTTGATTCCTTGATGGCTCCCTCTACCTCTCCTCTTGTCCTAAACATCTTTTACCTAGTTTGAGCAAAGGTTAGATACTGCCTTATCATATATTCTTCCACATGTTTTCTTTTTGCCTGAAACCCTAGGTTTTTGATATTCTAAAGCCAGGAATTTTATTCCCTCTATCAGTTGCATTTTTTCGTGACGTTGTGTGGTTTAGATGCCTGACCTGGGAAAGGGTCATGGAATATAGGGATCTATAGAAATACAGGGGCAATTTATCTGTTAATATTTTAAAATATTTCTGTCACCTATTTCCTCTTCTATTAAGCTTTGTTCTGGGCACCCTAAATAAATGAATATAATATACACATATACATACACACACACACATACAGAAAGAGAGAGAGAGAGAGAAAATGTTTATATACCAAGTTAATATGATCATTTATCCTTGGAGGTAATGCATTAAATTCCTTCCTAATACAAGAATCTCTCTTTTCATTCACCTTGTAAGAGTGTTACTCTTCTTGTATTTAAATAAAAAATGTTAGAAGATTTAGTTAGGAAACAATATAAATTATTACTGGAGAAGTGGTTTGAATTGAATGCTGAGTCTAAATAATCATTTAAAGAAGATCTTCAACATCACTAGTCATTAGAAAATGCAAATGAAACCCACAGGGAGATACTACTATATATCTGTAAGAATGATAAGAAAGAAAACACACAAAAAACAGAGTATCAATTGCTGGTATAAATGCAGTGTACCTAAAACTCTTACACAGTACTGGTAGTAATGGAAATGATACAGCCACTGTGAAAAACCAGTCTGGTAGTTTCCTATAAAGTTAAATGTTCACTTACTATATATGACTCACAAATCCCATGTCTAGCTATTTACCACAGGAAATGAAAACTTAATTTCACATGAAAATTTATATGTGAACTTCTGGTGCCTTTACTTATAATTACCAAAAATTGGAAATGACACAAAAGTCTGTCAACTGGCAAAAGGATAAGTAAAAAATGTTATGGTCTTACAAAGGAATACTATTCAGCAATAAAAAAGCAATAAACTACTGCTAAATGCAACTATGTAGGTGAATCTCAAATGCATTATGCTAATTTAGAGAGGTCAGGCTCAAAAAAACTACATACTATATGGCTTTATTTCTATGATATTCCCAAAGCGACAAAACTTTGCTCTATAGAGAATAGAGTAGTGGCCAGGTGTGGTGGCTCACGCCTGTAATCCCAGCACTTTGGGAGGCTGAGGCAGGTGGATTGCCTGGGCTCAGGGGTTCATGACCAGTCTGGGCCACACAGTGAAACCCTGTCTCTACTAAAATACAAAAAATTAGCTGGGCATGGTGGTGTGCGCCTGTAGTCCTAGCTACTTGGGAGGCTGAGGCAGGAGAATTGCTTCAACCTGGGAAACAGAGGTTGCAGTGAGCTGAGATCGTGCCACTGCATTCCAGCCTGCGTGAAAGAGCAAGACTCCATCTCAAAAAAAAAAAAAAAAAAATAGAGTAGTGGTCGCTAGAGGCTGAGGATGGTGGTAGGGTGGGGGGTTGTTGATGTAAAGAATATGTTGGGGTCATGAAAAAATAATATGTGCCAATGGGGTTATTCAAATCTTTAATTTTGGTGGTTGTTATATGATTTCATATATTTATCCAAACTCAAATAATTGTATACTAATATAGGAGAATTTTACTGTATGTAAATCATACCTCAATACTTAGGCAAAAGGGACTCCAAAGTGTATGGAGATTTAAATGCAGGAAGCTTCTACCTCACTATGGGCTGAAAAACAAAGGGAAACTTAGAATTATTAAAATTTAGAAGATAGAAGAGAGCTCCAGAAAGCTAGAACTCAAATCTTTGCTGTAGAGAAGAGCTAGCTGGTGCTCTGAAATCATGTGATGATATTTTCTCTAAGACTATAGGAAAAACCACACACTGGAATCAACTGTTACTCTTGAATGAAGTGCTGCTGCCTAGGTGAAGAGGCACTGCTGGGATGATAGAGGTGACAGCGTGCTGGCAGTGGTGACAGCGTGCTGGCAGTGGTGACAGCATGCTGGCAGTCCTCACAGCCCTCGCTCGCTCTCAGCGCCTCCTCTGCCTGGGCTCCCACTTTGGCGGCACTTGAGGAGCCCTTCAGCCCACTGCTGCACTGTGGGAGCCCCTTTCTGGGCTGGCCAAGGCCAGAGCTGTCTCCCTCAGCTTGCAGGGAGGTGTGGAGGGAGAGGGGCGAGTGGAACCGGGGCTGCGCGGGGCACTTGCAGGCCAGCTGGAGTTCTGGGTGGCCGTGGGCTTGGCGGGCCCTGCACTCGGAGCAGCCGGCCGGCCCTGCCGGCCCCGGGCAATGAGGGACTTAGCACCCGGGCCGGCGGCTGTGGAGGGTGTACTGGTTCCCCCAGCAGTGCCAGCCCACAGGGGCTGCGCTTTTCTCACCGGGCCTTAACTGCTTTCCCACGGGGCAGGGCTCGGGACCTGCAGCCCGCCATGCCTGAGCCTTCCACCCCCTCCATGGGCTCCTGTGCAGCCGAGCCTCCCCAACCAGTGCCACCCCCTGCCCCACCACGCCCAGTCCCATCGACCACCCAAGGGCTGAGGAGTGCGGGCACTCGGTGCCGGACTGGCAGGTAGCTCCACCTGCAGCCCCGGTGCGGGATCCACTGGGTGAAGCCAGCTGGGCTCCTGAGTCTGGTGGGGACGTGGAGAACCTTTATGTCTAGCTCAGGGATTGTAAATACACCAATCAGCACCCTGTGTCTAGCTCAGGGTTTGTGAATACACCAGTGGACACTCTGTATCTAGCTACTCTCGTGGGGCCTTGGAGAACCTTTATGACTAGCTCCGGGATTGTAAATGCACCAATCGACACCTGTATCTAGCTAATCTGGTAGTGCCTTGGAGTACCTTTGTGTCAACACTCTGTATCTAGCTAATCTGGTGGGGACGTGGAGAACCTTTGTGTCTAGCTCAGGGATTGTAAACGCACCAATCAGCGCCCTGTCAAAACAGACCACTCCACTCTACCAATCAGCAGGATGTGGGTGGGGCCAGATAAGAGAATACAAGCAGGCTGCCCGAGCCAGCATTGGCAACCCGCTCGGGTCCCCTTCCACATTGTGGAAGCTTTGTCCTTTCGTTCTTTGCAATAAATCTTGCTACGGCTCACTCTTTGGGTCCACACTGCTTTTATGAGCTGTAACACTCACTGTGAAGGTCTGCAGCTTCACTCCTGAAGCCAGCAAAACCACGAGCCCACTGGGAGGAACGAACAACTCCAGAGGCTCCGCTTTAAGATTCGTAACACTCACCGCGAAGGTCTGTAGCTTCACTCCTGAGCCAGGGAGACCACAAACACACCAGAAGGAAGAAACTCCGAACACATCTGAACATCAGAAGGAACAAACTCCGGACACGCTGCCTTTAAGAACTGTAACACTCACCGCGAGGGTCTGCGGCTTCATTCTTGAAGTCAGTGAGACCAAGAACCCACCAATTCCGGACAAAATAGCATCAGGATCAAAAGGTAAGCAGGTAGGAGCCCTCCTCCAGCAATCCAGTTTTCCTCTAGCATTCCTAAAGGTATGTTTTAGGAGCCTAACAGGGAGCCACCTGGCTATAGAAAAATGTGGTTTTCACAGCGCCAGCATCAGCCTCAGAAAATAGAGTATAAATGGGTAGGTTTGAAGCTGAGGGCCACATTTCCCATGGTCAATGGTGTCTATAAAATTTTCAAAACAAAAACACTTGGGGGACCTACATGGAGCTGCATCAAACTGGATAAGCTTTATGTCCTACGAAACCTGGATCTACCCTGGATGGTAGTTCCTGAGGTCTCCAGGAAAGAGGATGTACTAGTGTGAGAAGAAGGCCAGGGCCAAATCTTAGAAGTAGAATTAGTAGAGAAAAATGAGATAGACAGAAAAGGATTATTTAGGAAATTGGGAAATAAACCATAATTGTAATGCACTGTGGAATCAACTGGAGACAGAGGACAGGATGGTGGGCAAGGGTAGGCCTTTGGAATGGGAAAATGAGTACCAATGCTCCTTCCCTTCAATGTGTCCACACCAACTGTTCTCTTTTTCTGCTGGGCTCCATAGCCAGGCTTATGCACAGCCCTATATCCGATGAAGCCCTTCTGTGTTTGCTGAGATTCCTGATCCTCCATCACAGAATAGAAAATGAGCATTTGGGAAATAAAGAAAAATTAATAACCTCTAAAATTCTTCCCAGGAAAAACCACCACCTCGAAAACATTTTCCCAGGAAAGATATTTCCATACTCAACCAGAGCTAGATCCTTGTTCACTAAGCAGCTGGACAGTTTAAGCACTTGGAAAAGCCTCTTCACTCTAAAACAAATAATTTTTTTATTATTCAGAGAAGCCAAATGGACTGTACCAGATAAAACCCATCACACAACCTCCCTGTCTGATAAATTGTTTCCCAACAACAGCATCCACTGGCCTCTACTTGGGTGTCAATGTTAAACGTTAATAAGTTTGTTTCTTTTATGATTTTACTATTAGGGACCTTGAAGTGTTTGTGACCTTCCTGACCTCTCTTTTCCATGGACAGCCCCTAGGACACTATAGACACAAGGAATAATAGAAAAATAGGAAATACCGTGCCGTTTTAGTAGCAACTAAGCCAGCACCTGATGCCCCGACATAGGGCCTCTTTGACAAGGTATTTGGAGCATATAATTTTGACTTGAGATGAAAGGGAGGCCCCCTGTTTCCCCTTTTAATATAAATCTTAGATCCAGCAAGCTCAGGTGTGACTGCAGGCTCAGAAAGAAAAATGACATCTTTGAAGGTTGAAGATTGAAGGTGAAGGTTGGGGAAGAAAAAGAGAAGAAACAAAATACCAGCTGGAGTTTTCTTGAAGCAAGACCTGACTAGATCTGTTCCCACATGAACCAGAGAGCACCAGCGGGGAGGGGGAGAAGGAGGTCTGAGTGCCTTGCTAATATTAAGATGGAGTTGATTTTAAAATGGAGTCACCCTGGCTCTTCTAGGCTCCCGTTTACCTAACACTTCTAGCAAAACCTAGCCCGGTGAATATCATGATCTCGAGATAGGAGCCATGATAAGATGAGCAGCTCACCATCCCTTAGGGAGAAGCCTAAAGGGGAAATGGTGAAGCCGACCTGCCACCTCATGAAGTTCAGTGACAATCCCCTCCTCTAACAAAGCTAAAGTCTTTTCTCAGTTAGGAAAAATTGCTCTTGGGCAGGCTGGAGAGATTTACGGGAAATCAGAGACTCAACCTATCTTCATAACAGCAAAGATTTTAATTTAGTTTCACAGGGCATGGGTATCTATGTCAAAATACAGACAACACCCATCATTCATTGGATATACAACCAGTTGTAAGATCCTATCATATAAAATGTCTATGAGTAATTTAATGTCAATTTGGAGGGGCATCAAGAAAATACTATTACACAGTACTCATTTCTGTGCTCTGTCTCTTCCAAGTCTTAATAAGGGAGTGGCCTGGACTTTTCAAAGAATGCTTCCTTTAATAAGCATGCTCAGCATCTCAGGAGACAAATGTAGAACTAAAGTGATCTTGTAAACTAAAGAATTAATAGAGAGGTTTCCACAGGATAATTGCTGCATAACACCCAAGAAAAGAGCTTTTGCACAAGTTCAAATAGGCAAAGGTTTGACGAAACATAGGTTGGATAAGAAAGTAGGACATGGTGGGTGATGAGCTTGCTCCAAGTCTGCAATGAAGACCTGTCTGCAGTGTACAACACAAGCATAACACTGAATGTATCAAAAACAAAACAAAACAAAAAACACAGAAGAGAATATGAGCCATTCTCTTGGGGGAAAAATCAAAACATTATTGGCATACACTTACCAAATGAATGAGGGTTATAGAGAATACAGAGAGGATTCAAAGAAGAGCTGCAAACATGGTTTAATTGGATATCACACTTGAAAGAAATATTGAAAAAACAAGGCTTTTTTTTTTTCTGCTGGCAAAACATAAAACTTAGGAAATATTTTATAGTCATTCGATAGAAAAAGGGCTGTCAGAGACTGGCAATAAGCAGTTCTCTTGCCCTACAGTTGACATAATCAAAGAAAATTGGCTTAAACTATAACAGTCTGAGAGAGATTTATAATTTCCTACCTACTCAGTCAAACTGGAAAAATTCACTCCCTATTTATGAAGTGCAATTATGCCTTGTATGTGCTGAAGGCATGCCCTGGTCATATTATTCAAGTTCTTTTTTAAAGTCCAAGTCCTGTCATATTAGTATTTCACATAACACTACTCGCAATTAAGCGCTTAATATGGTATTTGGATGTTGTAATAAACAACAAAGATTTTCCTGTCCTGTAGCCAGGGAACATTGGTCAGGTGTGGAATCTCATTCCCTGAAGTAATTCATTCTGGTTTTAGCTTAAGAAACTTTAGGCTTCTTCGGATATTGATTTACAGAAAGAAGCCAAATAGAAAATTAGTTCCCACGTGACTGTGTCTGTTTTTATGATAAAGTACTTTGGGCTAGGCATAATTGTCTTTTTTTTTTTTTAATGTGGTCATAGTCTATTATGCAAATTAATCTTTCAGGATCTAAGTTATACCAAGTATAATATCCTCGTGGGCTATAGACATTAATTGTTACTTACAATGTGTCTATTATAAGTCTAACGTTGCTAAGTTACAAAGTTATATATTTTGCCAATTTAAATGCCTTTTAAAGATACGCTTGTGTGAGGATTCTTACACTATGCATGAGCTGAACCGGGATGGTCTTCCTGGCAATCTTGAAGAAGGGAATAAATTCCTATGGTCTGCAATAGAGCTTAAGAAATTGCAGCATGTTGGTGGGGAGATGGAATATGGAATGTTCTTTTTAGTTCTGTGTTTGGCCTGTTAACACTAAAAATGATGGATGTGACTGATAATACAGTGTAAGCAATAGATCACAGGTAGATAATAGGTAGAAAGATTTTAGATATATTCCTATTAAAACTCCATTTTTCACTGACAATTAAGAGAGGTCCAGGGAAGTGTCAAATTGCTGGTTCGTCTTGGGTTTGATTTTATAATTTCGTATTCATTTTTGTAATACGTGGTGTTTTCTGTCCTGATTTACTATTTTGTATGGGTAGACATTATCTTTTAATAATGCTAGGAAATACAGATGCATTAACTTCCTTGTAACTTTGCATCTTTTAACCAGGGTAAAATAATTTCTTTTAATTAGTAAGACAGTTCTAGTCTTAGGATTTGCTACTAAATTTCAATCAGAGAACAAGATGCTTTGAAAATTTATAATGGAGATTCTAACAGAATTTTAACTTCCTCACCACTGAGTCTCTGCTATAAAACCATCCATGCAAAGAACATGGTTAATTTATCTACAATGTTATCAACATTGGCCTTAAATTAGATCTTCATACAATTTAACAAGATGCAACAATACAATGGCTATGATTTATTTGTGATATATATGACATAATCATAAAAACATCAGGTCACCAGAGCTAGCATTTTGCATCCTTATAATTCTTTAAATGATTTTTCTTTGTCTTTTGTAAAAGGAAGTCAAAATAATTTAACATGACATCAATATGCATGGAATATAGTGTATCTAACAGTTACAGTCTTCTAAAATATTTCTTGTAACTAACAGTAATTTATTAAGTAATAAACCAGGAAGCTCATTAATGCAAAGCCATTAATTTTCTTCTTCTAATATTGTTATGAGAGAGATTCCATTTTAATTTCAACTGTGAGTGGTTGATATAAGAGTGCAATTTTTACACCAGTAGTTAAAGAATGATTATATTTTGTTTCTGTCAAATAATTCTCAAGGTTTAATAATTTTTGGAATGTTACTCAGCATTCTATTCATAATAATAATGCTCCAACAAATTACTGATTCTCATAGCGCATCTGATGTTTGCCAGGTAAGGTGTGAGATTTTGGCAAAGAGCAAAGCACGGACTTCACCCTCAAGGTGCTTGTGTTTTAAGCAGAGACAAGCATAGACACAAGTAGGCACCGTGAAGTTTTATAACTACAATGATTGAAGTAGGACATTTATTATTTTGGCTCATATAAAGGTGTCATTCCATGTGGCCTCTTGACATGCTGGCCAGCTGGTCTTCATATTTTGATACCCGCCTCCTCTCAGAAATATCTCTTGACCCTCTGCCCAACTTCAGTACTCCTACCATGATCACCCATGTATTATTATCTAGCCAGTGCCATATATATATAAATATTTGGAGTACTCAATGGATGTTGGTCTAATGAATTATCTTAATTAACTTACTTTGGCTCAGAGGCAGGGCTTCAAACATTTATGTTGTAAATTTGGTTGAACCCCAGTTGAGAAGTGTGTTTCCTGCAAATTTGTGCTCACCAGAAAATGAAGTAGGTAACAAAATAATATGAAGTATCAATGAATAATGCCCCTTCTTGAGTCTTCAGACTACCTGCTGGCCCCTTCCACTCATAGGTAAAGAGAAAGTATAGAGGAGAACAAATATTTTTATATTATTTCACTTCTTAAATTCAATGAGCATCTTTTCCTGGAAGCCAGACACCCTACCCAAAGCCCCAAGGCACAGTGAACAAGTAAAATAAATGACTCTAATTCTCCCAACCCAACACCTCCCTGCCACAATTCCCCCACCACTCTCCATGGCTATATACATTTGTCTGAGAAGTTGGAGGAATGAGAGTTGGAAACATAAGGAAAGGAAGAATCAAGTGCACGGCCTCCTGGGTAATCTCGATAATGGAGACAGTGGGTGGATTTTCTCCCAAGCTTAGGGGTAATTTTAAATACACGATTTGCTTCTCTCCTGGCATTTGCTGTTTAGCAGAACCCCAGATCCAGGTAGAACAGGAGGGCAACAGGGAAGGGCAACAGAAAGTGGGCAGTAACAGATTGAGGTGGAAGAAAGTAAAGACTGCCTCATGGTGCAAGGTAGGAATTCCCAAGATTCCTATGGCCACAAACAGTGTAGGGGAAGGTGTTAGCTTCTCCTAGGGAGCATGACTTTGTTTGTTGTCAAACAAAAACCTGCCCAAGAAGGGAGATCTGATTAATGGAGCTATGATGGGTAGAAAGCTCATGGTTGGCAGGAGGGGAGAGTTGGGGAGGTGAAAAAACCCCAATCATGTCTTATCAGGATTACCAAGTAGTTACTGAGGAGAACCCAAATGATGGTCCTAAGAGTATCCAACATGCCTCATGACAGAGTGAGCAATTAGTTCCATCTACAGTAATAGGGGCAACAATCAAGGCTTCGCAGTTGGGCATCACCAGAGCCCTAGGACAGTGCTGGGCTTTGGCTTTGCCTCTTTTCTGAAAGCTCCTTCTCATAGCTGTGAGCAGGCATGCAAGGACACCACGTACCCTGGAGAAAGAAGCTTTGCACTGAATGGCGCCTACAATCTTAATGCTTAGTTTCAGCTGGAATATTTTTGGATTACACTGAGTCGACTGAAATGGGAGAGCATGGCTAGCTTGCTCCGAGCAGATGGATGGCTCAGACGATGGGATCAAAAGTCAAGAGAAGTATATCAGGTGCAAAATAAAGCAAAATCCTTGTTTGCAAACATCTGATTCATTAAAGTAAAATTTATACTTGTTACATGTTGGAGGAGTATTCGTTGCTTCTTTTGGAGCATGTGAGAATTAACTATTCAGAAGATATAGATTTAGACAGAGTTCCAGTTCCTCAATTCTAGGGGAGGAAAACCCAAGATAAAAATTAACATTAAATAGGGAAGGATGTGCAGCAGTAGAAAAATGAAAAAAATATATTGTTTTCTGTTTTAGACTTTTGCATTAAATCTTCTCTTCAGTTCACTGAACTCTCTCAAATGAATCCCAAAGGTGGATTCACCCGCCCTTCCAGATACCCCCTCCTCTGCCACCCATTCACATCAAGAATTGTGAATAATTACTGTGAGAAGAAAAACAGAAATGAGCAAATATCGCTCAGGATTTGAAAGATATTTGCAGGGCCAATGCTTCTTCCAGGAGAGATGTGAAGAAATGGCCACAGGCTTGGGGAGAAAAAGAGGAAAGTCCATAGAGTATGGTGGAGAGATAAATTTATGGTCCAGGAAATGGGAAAATTTGCTTGGGAGTTCCAGAGAGCTGACTCTGGAAGCTGCCTCAGTGTCAAGCTGTCTTCATGCTGCCCTAAGAGCTAGCAGATGGAGAAACATTTTCATTTTAAATCATTCTCTAGGACACTGGTTCTGCAAATATAACGCTTGGACAAGTGACATCAGCATCATCTGGACTCCTGTTAGAAACACACATTGTTGGGCCCAACACCAGATCTTTACTGAAACAGAAACTCTGGATTGGAGTCCAGCAATCTGTGTTTAACAAACTCTGCAGGTGATTCTGACACATGCTTGAGTTTGAGCCCCTGCTTTATTACATGAAGGGTATTGGTGATGAAGCATGTCTTAAATGTTAATACATTACTTTTATCTTCAGCATTTTCTTCTAAACTGCTGGCACACTTTCTGCATATTTTGATATTGGTGCTTTCATAAGCTCATTGGAAGGTGCCAGCTGAAGGTGGTATTCAGCAAGAGCTTGAACTCTTACTTCATTTTCAAGTGAACAACAACAAAACAAAATAGTTTGTTGACTGAAACACAAGTGGTGGCAGTTGTCTACTCATGGCACCAGGTATAAAAACCAAGTATGATTAATGCCAGCCATGTCACAAATGCCACCTGCCTAAAGATGCCATTGATATAAGGCACATGTTAAAATATTTTAAAGGATAAAATTTTAAAAAGTGAAACAACATGTATTAGAAATGATGAAATATGGCCAGGCAGGGTGGCACACATCTGTACTTCCAGCTACTCAGAAGGCTGAGACAGGAGGATTACTTGAGTCCAGGAGTCTGAGGCTGCAGTGAGCTATGATCGTGCCACTGCACTCCAGTCAAGGCAACAGGGTGAGACCCAAAGAAAGAAAGAAAGAGAGAAAGAGTGAAGGAAAGAAGGAAGGAAGAGAAAAGAAAAGAAAGAAGGAAAGAGAGAAAGAAAGATAGAGAAAGAAAGAGAGAAAGAAAGAAAAGAGAATGCACTCAAGCCAAGGCAACAAAGTGAGACCCTGTGAAAAAGAAAGAGAGAAAGAGAGAAGGAAGGAAGGAAGGAGAAAGAGTAAGAAAGAAAGAGAAAGAAAAGAAAGAAAAAGAAAGAGAAAGAAAAAGAAAAGAGGGAGGAGAGAAGAGGGGAGGGCAGGGCAGGGCAGAGGAAGGGAAGGGAAGGGCAGAACAGAGCAGGGGAGGGGAAGGGAGGAGAGGAGAGGGGAGGGGAAAGGAGGGAGGGAGGAAGAAAGGAAGGAAGGAAGGATATGATAAATATGACAATCCAGAAAACCAATGCATGAATTTACAATGATAATTAACATAGTCAAGTTACCATGGGTGAGAAAGCAAGACAGACACTCAGTGTATTATTATAGAAACAAGAGGACGTAAGTTCATTCTACCTCCAAGATGATTGGAGGTTGAGTCCCACAGCTATGGATCCTGAGGCCTGGGATAAGCAAGGCTATGGGTGGGATGCTTCTGATCTGGTCAGGGGAATTAAAAGGATCTATTTAAGCCAGTGTACAATCAGGGAAGGGACAAACTCTCCAGACACTGGAATCCTGGAAATAGGATGTCACTAAGGAAGAAATGGATGAAGATCATACAGGCTCATTATAGTGTGATATTACTTCCTTCTCAATCCTGCCTTCAGGTTGCTCCATCTGTCCCCATCTGGGCCCAGATAAATGTGAACTCTGTGGGTAACATGTTTTTATCTTGCCTGTGCAAAGACTTACACACCTCTACTGGGATCATAAGCACAGTTGTATATATTGGGAGTAAGGGCAGCTATGCTTGGAAATATAGGTCTTTTAAAAGTGGAAATGGGGTCAAAACATGTCAACTAAAAACAAGTTTGAGTCTCTGACCTAAGAACTAAGGCTATCTTTCCTAAGTACATGACTTCAGCTTAGGCGATCAGTATCTGTCCCCTCATCCTCTCATGGGTCACATCATGCAGGGCATGCAGAAGCTAATTTTCTACTTGGTCACATGTAAGAGGTTTTTGAGACAGGTTTATCACAATTTCATATCCCCTTCTCATTGTTAGCTTCTGAGGAAGCCTACAATCTTTGAACTTAAAGGTTCATACTCAGCTTCATGATAAACTCAGTTTTTTCTATTCCAGCTCACTCTGCATATTGAAATAATTACAATCATTCTCATAATTTTTAGGAGAACATGAGAAAACATGCTGAAAATGTGGTAAGTAATTTTTTAGTTTTAATTAAAATATAACATATAATTTTAATTGAATAAATAAACAGAAACCTATGATTAACTTAAATTGGAAAAATATTTGACTTGCTTCATATTTCCTTAAGAATTAATCCCATGCTAATACTAGGGTGAATTACCTACAACTGCATGGACAAGACAAAACTGGGCCCATAGGAAACACAGGAAAAGAGTAAGCATATTACTCTAAATGAAAGCCCTCAGTGTCTAGCTATGTTTGGCAGCAACGTTTTTCTGTAGAATAAATAGCTGTGATTCTCAATTGGTTGGTCATGATTAACCAACTCATCTTTCAGGCCAGTTTGTCCCTTCCAGCCCAGTGTCTGGTGACATGCTCTGTGAATTTTAGCTAGAGGGCATTCTGAAGGGGACTCGGTTGGTAGATGCCAGATAATCCCTCTTTGCCCTCAGAGTGACTTGTGGCCTTGGGGAGAGGTCTCCCAAGTCTGCCTATAACCCACTCTCAGCTCTCTCACTCTCTTGTCCAAGTTTTAGCTTGTATGTATATCCTCAGGTGAATTTTTCATTTCAACTGTTTTCAGTAAAAGCCCTTCTTTTCTTGAAAGAAGTGATGCAGATATAAAAATTTGCGGATTTAAAAGTAGTTTATCCCCAGTAGGAAGCCAACTCCAGAGCAACTGCTCACACTAATTCTGACACTCCTTGCAGGGAGGTGGAGTGGCAGAGGGGAAAGAGCATGAGTTCTGGAGTGAGAGTGACCAGGTATGAAGCTTGATTCTGCCACCCATGACCTAAGCACGTGACTTCATCTAAGTTTGTCTTTATTCATCTGTATAATGGAGATTTTTTTTTATAAGTTGCTAAACTAAATGAAGCCACATACACTCTTGATGGAATATTGAGGATATTATTCAGAAATCCTGGACTTTGAGCTAGGATTGAACTAGAGTTTGATGAACTCTGGTTTGTCCTCTTGAGGCGGTGAGTGTGTTTTGTATGGAAAGGTGTTTGTGGATATTTGAGAGCTGGACTCTGGAAGAGATGATACATGGCCTGCTAAGGATTTGTGCCACCCTTCCCTACTGTAGATATGTAACTGGGAGATGTCTTCCCAGCTCCTGTTATATCCAGGTGGGCTACTTGAATAGTTATTATCAGTGAAATGAAAGTAATTGCACTGTTACAAAAATGCTCCTTGCAAGAGCAAATCAGGAGAGCAGGATCCAAAGTGGAAACCTAGGTGTGGTGACTGTGATGCACAAGGCTGACTCAAGCTCCAATTTGCAAGAAAATGACCTGCTAGGTCACAGATATTGTAAATAACAGAAAGTAAATAAGACTCAGTGAGCAACATGGGAATGGTAGTCCATGCTGGATGTGGAGTCTGGATGGCCAGCTAATGTTGAATACCATCTCCTGGGGCCTGGAAGAGGAAGGAATTGAGACAGAACCCTCCATGTACTGTGAAGACCTTTTGAGGGTGGAGGGAAGTGGAGGCACAGGGAATGAGCGACACCAGTCTCTACACCGATACACAGGGCAGAGGCAGGGCTTACCGCCTCTAATTTATGGCCTAAGGAAAATAGGTACTTCTCTATGGGACTGTGTAATCCTATTCGATTACATATTAGTACATTTTCAGGCTGCTGATAAAGACATACCCGAGACTCGGTAATTTATAAAGAAAAAGAGGTTTAATGGACTCACAGTTCCACGTGGCTGGGGAGGCCTCACAATCATGGCAGAAGGCGAAAGGCGTGGTCTTACATGGTGGCAGACAAGAGAGAATGAGAGCCAGACTAAAGGAGAAACCCCTTATAAAACCATCTTATCTCATGAAACTTATTCACTACTATGAGAACAGTATGGTGGAAACTGCCCCCATGATTCAATTATCTCCCACCATGTTCCCCCCCAACATATGGGAATTATGAGAGCTACAATTCAAGATGAGATTTGGGTGGGGACACAGCAAATCATATCAGACTATGGAAAGCAAGGATGATTTATTCAACTTTGCATCCTTAACAACTAGCATTGTCCTGGATGCACAGAAAATAATTAATAATATTTGTAGAATAAATGAACATAAAATTAGCAATGCGAGTAATCGGTAATACACTTTAGTTCTGGGATTTTTAATTGTGGTCCCTGGACCAGTGGCATCACCATCATCTGGGAACTTGTTAGAAATACAAATTCCAGGCCCTGCTTCAGACCTACAGAATCTGGAATACAACCCAGGGAATCCCGTGCTCTACCCAGCCTTGCAGATGATCCTGGTGCATGTGAAAGTTCAAGAATCGCTACATTAGTTCATTAAAAATAATTTTCCTCTGAATATCTAAACTGTAAATCTTTAATGCCTAGAGGCCAAAACTGCTTTTTTCTTTTAAAGTAAACGCCGATTGAATTTGATAAGTAAGGAATTTCCTTAGATATTTTAAAAATACTGTTATTTGGTGGGTGTTATGTAAAGATTCCATGAGTTCATGAACAATGCATTCTGAATAGTTCTCTCCAGAGCCCTGACTTTTTATAACTTTTCCAGAAATATCCTGTCATTGTTTCACGTACAGGATTTCCATTGGTGTTAGGTGAAGCTGAGAGAGTAGGTCAATAGCAGGATGCAGTCTCAGATTACAGAAACAGAGGTCACACTCCCCTGTCACCACTGTATTCTTCCATGCATTATGCTTCATTGTGTGTGCATTGGTGCCTCCAATCTCATGTTGTCCGCTTATCACAAAGTTGAAGCGTGAATCACTTTTCACCATTGTTTGAAGAGACTGTAGCAATCAAGGAATAATACTGTATCTTTGTACATTTTAGCTAGTAGACAAAATTCATTAATTTTATCTACTAGACTAAATTATCACATAGTCTAATAGACAAAATTTAAGATTAGCTAATACAATCTTATTTGAGACATAAGGCTTCAATTTAATTGGCACCGAATATCATTCTGAGCTGGCTTTATGACAGCTAATCAATACCTTTAATGAGATGCTCCGTGATGTCATCATTTCCTTGAAATAATTGTCCTAGAGTAATAGAGCAGGGTCTAATGTGATTAAAGCAAACAGATTTAAACTTCAGCAATTCAAAATGTGTGACTACATATGGCTTTGCTTTTATTATTCCTATAAATTGAATTCTTCTAGTATTGTCAATTTCAGCCAAAACACTGAGAAAGGTTTTTAACTTTTATTTCAGAATCCCCATGTAGGTTGAGATAGTGACTGATGGTTTCATTACCCAGCAACCATGGATAAATATTACAATCAGCATTGCCTGGAATAAATAATAGGTGTAACTAACTATAGAAATTAAGTTTTCCGAATGGAACCAGGATAGTTTCTCAAATTTTAATGTGCATGCAAATCACCTGAGGATCTCGTTAAAATGTAGATTCTGATTCAGTAGGTCTGGGGTGGAGCTAGATATTCTGCATTTCTAGCAAGCTCCAAAGAAATGCTGCTAACGGAAATTTACAATTTACAATTAACAAGGAGACACTGCTAATACACAAACAGCACTTCAGGAAGCAAATCACCAGAAGGCATTGCGCTGGGAATGAAAGAAAACCAAATGCGAAATAATTTATAGGTAGCTATTTGGTCCTGTTCATCTTCTTTATTTCAAAATAGTTTTTGTGTTTTTTTTTTGTTGTTTTTGTTTTTTTAAATATCATGCTCAGGCAGAGCACTGCCACTGATTTTACTCTTACAAGTTGTTGCAATTTCTATATTTGTGGCATGTTTCAATTCAAATTTATTAATTATCACCTTTTAAGAATTTTTGTAGTAGTATCTTTTGATGGTAACATACTCCCATATTTCTAGCAAATATAGAATAAAGGGATTCATATGTTTCACTTCCCTGTAAATACAGACATAAAGGTGAGTATAGGATGAGTAGAGATGGCAGGTTCGTTTTCAAGCTTGTAGGACCAAATAGCACACAGCTTTTTGCTCTCAATTATTTAATGTCCCTGTCATAAGTGTTAGACCAGTTGCTTGTTCTGAAGGGCAAGCTTTTTCCTTTCCTAAACATTGTTCACTTCCTCCCTAGCAACTCATAAACTTTGATGGTGATCATGAAGTTACACTTCTACAGAAAATCATTTCTCACACACCTCTTGGCCAGATATCGGGGCTTCCAGGTGTTTTCCCATTTCCCCGCAGTTACAGTAGAAGGCTCTCTATTTTCTCACCTCTACAGACTTCCATCACTTCGCCCTGGCTCACTCCTTTGGGTTCCTGTGGGTGATCCTGATTGAACAAGGAACAGTCAACTTTGAGTGGTGCTCTTCTTTCTTCAGAATGACCGTTATTTTTAACTTAAGAAATCCACCTGGTCGAACTACTGCCTGTCTGCCAGGCAGACACAGCTGCTCTCAGGGTCTGCCAGAGCCACGTTACAGCCTGCTGGGAAATATGCCGATGAGCGGGAGTTTGGCGTGGGGTCAGTTTGGACCTCAGGCCTCACTGTGGGCTCATCCTCGCTGTGGTTTTCTGGCATAATGAGTAGATGCTCCACCAACCCAAAGAGAATGCTGTGGTTCTCTTGCCCTGTTTCTTCAACACACATGCACACACACACATGAACCTAAACACATGCACATACACACTTACATTCACTTGCCACATATTCTCCTTGGAATAAAAAGGAAAGTCTTGTAAGGAAATTGGCCGTGTGCCACATTGCCATAGGCTATACTGTAGGTGCTTTGGATAAAGCTTGTGAAGGAACATATGGGCCTCATGAAAGAAACACCTGCTTGTTCAAACTGAAAAATAAAAAATAAAAGTTGCCCCACTGCTAATTTGGAACCCCCTAGAAGGAAAGCTGACTGTGATTAAATGAAAGAGGCCACTGGAAGCTTTTTCTGCCCATACCCTCCCAGCTGGGGCATCTCCATTCCCTTGATTTTTAAACGGATATCATTAAAGGCATACTCCGTATTTAGATTCTGAAAGTAGATTTAAGAAGTCCTTATACGAGGCAAGTTCTAAAATTGAATTTTCACCACCCCCCGACAAAAATTTTAAAAAATGTTTTTCAAGCCAAGATTTAGATTTGCACCAAACAGCCAAGATGGTCAAGATTTTCAATAGGATCCTTGCATCTGCTCCCAAATTTTGGGATATTTTGAAAGGGAATTAACAACTGAAGTTAGGTCATTGCTTTCCAAAGTAAAACTCTAACACCCAGAAATGATTTGGTAGAAGGGAAACTGTATCAATACAGTTTAAAAATACATATACTTGTGCACTTGAAAATGACCTAAAAATAAAACATAGCATGAAAACTAAGTTGCTTTCCATTACAATTAGAATCTAGGATCACAAGGGGGTATATTAATTTATTTTTATTTCTCTATCTCTCTATTCCACTGTACCAACTAAAGGCTAGTGTTTTTTTTGTTTTTTTTTTTGTTTTTTTACTTATACTTGACAATAGTAGAACACCTAGGAAAATCCACTGCTACATGATTGATTTAGTAAGAGTTCTTAGTGGTTAATCAAACTCATTATAAGTCCACCAAATGGTCTGTGTGTGTGTATGTGTATATACACATATACGTATATAATGTGTATATATATAAATACATATAAATAAAATAATGTATTTATAAATACATATCAGTCCTTCACATAGTAAAATACATAAAATGATATAAAACAAAATAATTTTTCTAAGGCGTGAGATTCTGATGTGTTATTTTCTTTTTGCTCAACTGTACTTTCTGATTTTTTCTGGACTTTTATTACTTAGATAATAAAAACAACAATAAAGAGTGAAAGAAGATAACAGGGCACAACACTATTCCAGGCTACCTTAAACCAGTTTTCAGGGCACCCTGAGATGTCCTGGAGCTCAGGCACAAAGGGGAGCTGGCACATGTTCAGAATCTGCCATACCAGAGGATACTTCCAGTTCTTGTTAGGGATTCTCTTCATCTGGAGCAAGTGTCCTCAGACTACTGTATCTGGCCTGTACCAGATAACAGTAGTTTTGTAAAAGAAGTTTTACTGGAACACAGCTACTATCATTTATGTATTGTCTATAACTTTTTTTGTGCCAAAACAGTAGAGGTAAGTAGTTGCCACAGAGACTATGTGGCCCAAAAAGTGTAAAACATGTACTGTCTGGTCCTTTACAGAAGTTTGCTGACCACTGACCCAGGGTACATTTTAGGGCAAGGACTTCTGTTAATAGAATGTCCTTGTATTCAAGACAGAGCTCACCTACTCCAATATTTAAAAGTTTTGGTTTGTCATGTTGTCAAAATCTGAAATACATCATTAAGCCCTTTAGCCTCTTAATGTTCAATACCATGATTTCAAGTAAATTCAATTCATATGTGTCTGATTCAATCCAGTGTAATTCAACAAAGTGTGCTGATATGGTTTGGCTCTGGGTCCCCACTCAAATCTCACGGAGGAGGGGACTGGTGGGAGGTAATTGGATCATGGGGGTAGACTTCCCCCTTGCTGTTCTCAATATAGTGAATGAGTTATCACAAGATCTGGTTGTTTGAAAGTGTGTAGCACTTCCCCCTTTGCTCTCTCTCTCTCCTGCTGTGCCATGTGAAGACATGCCTGCTTCCCCTTTGCCTTCCGCCATGATTGTAAGTTTCCTGAAGCCTCCCAAACCATTCTTTCTGTACAGCCTGCAGAACTGTGGGTCAATTAAGCCTCTTTTCCTTATAAATTACCCAGGATCAGGGAGTTCCTTAGAGCAATACGAGAACAGACTAATACATGTACTTTTGGAAAATGTGTTTCATGCAAAACACACACACACACACACACACACACACACACACATACATATCATTCCCGGATTGTGGAAGTTGTGCTTCTGCTGGAGAGAGTGAATTTCAGACCCTAAAATAATGAGTTGTAACTAAACTCAGGATAGACATGGTCAAATATTTATGGGCACTTTTGTTCTCTGTAAATTAAGCTGATTGTTTGAGTAAAGACTGGCCCTCATAAAGTTAGCTCAACATCCTATTTTAAAATTTGAGTGTCACATGTTTTGTTCTCAACACCTCAATCAAACTCCTTCCTCATGTTTTATTTAACTTGGGCATGGATATTAATAAAATACTGTATGTCAAATTATTCACTTAAAATAATCCTACTCTTCATCAGCCCTTCAAATTCAGGGTACACAACCAGAGGGAAGCTAGCACAAATTTACTAACTGCAAACCCAGGCTCTGATCATCTCAGCCAAATTTGACAAACATCCATTGTTTACCTACCTATGGTGAGCCTCTTAGATACTCAATTGAGAGACTAACTCAGCATCCAAGAAACTTCCAATCAGATTCATTTTGGGGCCTGTAGCTCACATTCCTTTATGGTATCTATGAGACCAACTTGAAAAACCAGGGTCTCTCACTCTCATATTCATGGCTTCCCTTGTGTCATAGGCATGTTCTAATCAAATCGGAGAGGTTACTTCCCTAAGCCTCCTCAGAGGAAGGTTTAGCATTTGTGCTTAGTCTTTGATCCTCTGTATTTATCTAACTGTTAGCCGTTGTATAACCTTAAATGTTAGCCTCCAGCTAATCTATCTTAAAAATAAGAAGACTGTGACAGAAATTATAGGAAGATGTCTATAAACATATTAAGAGAGCAGAGAGCATCATGATGGAAGTCTTCATAATATAGATTATTAGAAGTTAACATGCAATCACTATTAATAACAATATGTTAGCATTGAGCTAGGCAGTTGACATAAATTATCTCATGTATTCTTCCAAAATTTGTATGAGGAAATGTCTGTTATTATTTGTATTTTACTTAAGACTCAGGAAGATTAATGACTTTCTGAAGATCATGGTGTTAGTAAAAGGTAGAGCAAGGACTCAAAGGCAGATCTGATTGCATTGCTTATGTTTTATTATCTCCCAACTCTCTTTTGTGTATATCTTTTATGCTTGACTACACATTTTCTTTTTGTTACCTAAGAAGGGCCTGTTAGTTTTACAAAAATCTTAAAATAAAATCACCTGAGAATAGATAACTGAATAGATCTGAGATTAATTAACAGAATTTATATAACATTTTGCATTTGCAGGATATTGGAACAGAATATTAGGGGGTAGACAGAGAAGATTCTTTAGGAGGACTTGACCTTAACAGTTTTACAATTTAAAAATATTATTTCCAAAGTAATAAGCATTGTTTTCTTCTAGGGTGGAGACTAGAGGTTATTGTTCTTTTAGAAAAATTGCTTGAATGGACATTTAGTTGAGCATGTCAAAGGGCAAGTTCTCTGCATTCCTGGGAATGCCATAAATTCTGTGAATTCACCCCAAGCAGAGACTTTAGGCTGAGATAGTAGGCATTCTACTCAGTAAAGTAAATGTGTGCCCCTAAAACTCAGAAGAGTTTGTCCATTCTTAATCTGTATGTGCATCATTCATGCCTAAATGCTGTGGTCCATTCTTGGTTGCCAGGTATATGTGCATGAAGTTTTTGATGACAAGAGCTCGGGAGAAATAATTTGACTCACACCTTAACTTCTCTTCATGTTACGTAGAGAAAAGATAGTGACAAGAATTACATTTCGTGCTGCTCAACTTGAGCGGGATAGATAGAATAAACCAGATTAGAGGGTAATGTATTCAACTACTATTGAGGCTGTTTTGTCAAAGTCATGGGGCCAGATCAAGCCTATGGATATAGGAGGTGAGATTTTTCCTGTGTGGATTTCCGCATTTTAAACTGTCCTGGGAAAGACTTAATGATGAAGTGGGTCTTGCTTTGGGAAAGCCTTCTTCATATTTTCACTTGGCCTGAGTGTTGCCTGGCCTTTGCAGTGGATGTAGTGTTAAGTGTGCGTTACCCCCTGCTGCATGGAAACACTCCACGAGTTGGTCAAGAAGCTGGCTGAGTGGGGAATGACAATGTCAGATTTAGACTCAAAGAGTAGCCACATCAAGTGGTGGTCATAGTGACTGCCTACAATGTTTTCCTCGTATTTAATCCTTCAGTAAAGCTAGTGTCCTATGAGGAAGTGCAGAGGGACTGCCTGACAATGTGATGTAGTGTCCCCTATCACATTCATGTGCATTGAGAAGGGAAGGGAGCAGGTGGTGGGCTAAAGGGGAGTGGGAAGCATCAGACTGTGGCTGGTCTCAGCAAAGAAACAAAATCACCAGTCATGGCCAGGTATGGTGGCACGTACTTGTGATACCAGTTACTCAGCCTCGCAGGGGAGGCTGAGGTGGGAGGATCCCTCAAATTCAGGAGTTCAAGTCCAGCCTGGGCAACATAGCGAGACCCAGTCTTGGCAAATAAATAAATAAATAATCACAAGAGTCAACCAAGTCTGAGGTGGCAGGGCAGATGGAGGAGGAAGAGCCAGGGACACCTGATACCAAACATGTATTCAAGATGGCACCATGAGGATTCTAGAAACAGGTGGGGGGCACTTTTGGGGGGCAGATTTCCAACAATGAGGCCATTGGGACTGGATTTTTTAAAAAGAGAGATTTTTTAAAAAGAAAGAAAAACATATTTGTTAATTATAGATTGTTAAGACCTAGAATTTGGCTGGGCACCATAGCTCACACCTGTAACCCCAATACTTTGAGAAGTCAGAAGTGGGTAGATTGCTTGAAACCAGGAATTCAAAACCAACCTGGTCAATATAGCAAGACCTCATCTTCACAATAAAAATTTAAAAATTAGCTGGGCATGGTGGCATGTGCCTGTAGTCCCAGCTATTTGGGAGGCTGAGGTGAGAGGATTGCTTGAACTCGGGAGGTCAAGGCTGCAGTGAGCTACGATTGCATCACTACACTGCAGCCTATGCAACAGAGCAAGACCCTGTCAAAAAAAAAAAAAAAAAAAAGCCTAGAATTTATGTGTTACACAAGGATGGTAAAACAGATTCAGAAATAGCTGACAAAGACTTCGGCTGCTGCAGTGGCAAGTGCCGAACAGCCTGTCCCTGACTTCACTCAGGCCCCATACCTGACCTATTCACACAGGGCCATGTGTGCAATGTTCTATACAAATTACTTACTAGGATAAAAGGCAAATATACTTCCAAATAAAGCCTTACTCCACCTCCCCACATTCATGTAGTCCACTGTCCACTGCTACCCTCTAACAGATTAAAAGAAAAAGATATATATGTAGTGGGGGCTTCTTCAAAGCAACCAGTGTTTAAAATGCATGCCCTTCCCCAGGACACCTTCTGCATAGAGAATTATATAAAACATTCACTACACTCAACAAATTGGAATCGAAGAAAATTTTATCACAGTGTGAGATACCTGGCTACTGATTCCATGTGATAGATGGCTGTACGTTGATACATTTTTTATTAACTTATTCAGTAAATACTTATATAGTCCCTCTTTGTAATAGGCACTATATTAGGGGATTAGATCACAGTTTTTGCCTTTATGTTGCTTACAGGCTATTTCTGAAAGGATATAGGAAGATATATATGTGGGACTCTAATGCAAAATGTGGCAATTTGGAATCACAATAGAGACCACACAAAGATTGAAGGAAAATTGATGTAACTGATTTCCTGAGAAAAACTGCTTTCTACCCAGACATTTATTTCTAAAGGTTATGATCATATATACAAAAGGGGTTGGGGAGGGCAAATGTATGGCATATGCTCTGTGGATTTTATTTTTAACATAGGGTAAACTCAAGTGGAAATGTTTGTTGTAGGTCTTTGTGTAAGAAAACCTGAGAATCAAAGTGGATGTTATTTTCAAATATGGTTTTGTAAAATACAGAAAATTGTCAAAGTGAATAGTTCTTCTATTGCCCTTTTTTTTTTTCCTGTTATGACCTCATAAAAGAATACAGAGCTGTGAATTAAGGGCCTCAGAATAAATTCCTCAGAGCAATTATGACCTCAGAGTATTTAAATAGCCTATTAGATCAGCTTTTTCAAATATGAGCTACTTCAAATATACTTTAGTAGGTGGTCAATCAGTCAATCAGTCATCTTTCTATATGCCTGATGTACCTGGAATAAGAAAGGTAAAGCTATCCTCAACTGTAAAGATTGGAGAATGAATTTATTTGCTCAAAAAGGTTCCTACCGTATAACATGGGCCTTTACTACTAATATAACATGTATATAGAGCCCATATTTATCTCAGACAAAAAAAGATCTTTGGGTTTTTCATAGCAATTGTATAACTTTTATTTGAACCTTAAATTCTATTATGAATGCAACTGAAAAAAATATGCTGGGTGCCATGATAATAGTTGATTGTTTTGGTGACTAAAAGTAACAGATACATATACAAAGCCAGAATGCAGAACTAAAATCTTCAGTTTGACCCTGTGGGACATTTAATTCCATAGGAAGATGGGGCTATCTTCTCTCTGAGTCTGTCGGTATGAATAAATTTCAAAATTCTCTGACCTGCCCATCCAAGTAGCTGCAAACGACTGGCTCACTGATGAGATCTTATAATTTCATGAAAGCATACAAAATAAAACAATGTTTTGTGGCAGCTGGTTCAGAGAAGTGGCCTCAGAAAAGAAGTAGCTCTATGGTTCTACCTCCTTATTACCACTGTTCTTCTAGGAAGGACAGAACAAAAGTATTTTTGGAATTTTTCTATACTGTAGGAACGGTGCTAGGTACTGAGCATGCAATGGCAGAAAACTCACACCCTGCTCTTAAGGAACTTAAAATCAGCCTGAGCACCTTCCAGCTTTCTCTAGTAGTAGGAAGTGCCACTTGAATTTTCTCTAAGATTGAAAAGAAAGTGAGCCAGAAAATAGCCAAACTGCCAACCCCTAATGTTTATAAGTGGATCTTTCCTGGGATGCAGCAACAAAATAAAGCTACTAGCACAATCATGGAGTCCATCAAATTCCAGTTTATTAGCTATGTCTAGGTCCTTTTCCTGCTTGTACCCAAAGAAGACATTTCTCTCCCTCTCTCATCCTTGGTCTTTATAGCGAGGCAGGCATGTCTGATTGCTCTAGAGTTTATCTCCCTTCTTGAAAACAACTACTCTTCTGGGCAGTTCTTTGGGCCATTGCTCTGTCCTTTTTGGATCAAGACCCTCAAACTCTTCATACTTCACTAGCCTGGTTCAATTTTTCAGTCTGATGCCCTCCAGCTCCTGACTTTCTTAACTCAATCTCTCAATCTGTTATATATTACTTAAGGTCTTGTAAAAAACCCTCCTCATCCTTCCTCATATATATACATATGAAAAACATACATATGGTTGATATAGACATATGATATAGATTATAAAGATATCATATATATTTGTGTGTGTGTGTGTTTCTGCATATATATGGAATCTCTTCTACTGCTCTGGCTAACCTTCCCACTTTACAATAAACTAAATTAGGATATATAAGTATATGTATTTTCATGGCATATGAGGGGTAAATAATGATGTGCACAGCCTATATAAATACTCCTACCTAGCATTGTACATTCATTTTGTTTTATCTGGGAAGAATTTTTAAGCATGGTTATAGAGATGAAGGAAAGACTAGAAGGGGAAATAGTTTCTGGTACAAAAGACAAGAATAGGAAACTGGAATGTAAGGGATTGAAAGCACATGATTTCATTTTACATGAGCTTTAGAGATAGTAAAAACTATTCCAACTATTTTAGAGTCAAAAATGACACATTTCACCATAAAAAAGAGGCAAAAGGAAAACATTTTTGAAAATACAAAGATTACAGAAGACACTGACTAAATAACATTGTGTGTGTGTGTGTTTAGAAAGAAATAAGGCAGAAAGATAACTGCAGGTTATGACAGAATCAGCTGACAAAATATGCCTTGGAAGAGAAATCTGTGAATTGTAAAGAAGCTTGTATTATAGTAATTTCTTTTTATAATCTGACCTGCCTACCCTCTCAGAGCACATTCTATCTCTTTTGCAATCAGCAGTGGTTCCATCAAAGTTTGCCTTGTATAAATATTAACTCATCTTCAAAGAAGCATGCAAGTCTTAAATTCAAATCTATTTTGCTTTTCTAGGCAGGTAATAGACTCTTCTAACTACCTGCTTGGTTCCCCGTTCCTGCCTTGATGTAACCTTCAGAGTGAGGTCACTAAAACCCTGGAGACTCAGCCTTGATCAGTTTCTTAGTCTAGGCTGGCCTCCTGGGACTTATAAGGAGGCAAAACCAACAGCATTCTGTCTCTGCTTTTGTACAGAACTGCTGAACAAAAATGTCTGGCTCTGACCATAAAGCCTACTAAACAATTTAGGCTCACAATTTATTTTTCTCTCTGCCCCATTTCACTAAATTTTCCCCAACTTTTCCATTTCCCCATGTCATCTCATTGCTGTCATTCTGCCCGTGAACTCCATCTTTTTATGTGTAGGTACCTGCTACCTGCTGTCCCAACTTCCTAAAGGCATGAGATACCCTCCTGCCAGATCCACACTTTTTGCCACCTGTTGAATCCCTTCCCTTCCCCGATGCCAACTTCTGTGCCTGCTCTGCAAGTTTCTCCCTATCATTTGTTCTACTTCCACAGTTCAGCCTATTCTCTAGTTTTTTACCTTTTCCTCACAGGCCTTCCATGTCACTGACTGGGCAACATAACCACTCCCAGCATCGTCTAATCATCTAGGCTGAGCTTTGCATTGTCTTCAAAGGGTTGATGAACAGACTCTCTTATGATGAGACATACCTCCAGATATAAAAGAACTCTTACAGATCATGTATTCCAAATCTCATAGCAATGAGGATAAATAGTCTAATATTATATACCTTGTTTCATACTTTTTGTTCAAAGGAATGCTCAAGGAATACATATGTTAATAAGATTTCTGATCCTACGTATATCTTCCAAGGCTTGGAGGAAAAAAGCTGTTAAGCACTTGAGGAAAATATGTGCTAAGTGCTAGGAATCTCACCATCAGAACTGGAAGAGTCATCCTACAGGTGTAGGATGGTTTTGTAAAATACAGAAATGCAGGAATAGGATGACTCTTCTAGTTCTGATGGTGTGATTCCTAGCATTTCTTACAGTAGTTAAGTTGGGCTTTGAAAGATACAAAAAAAAATTCAGTAGGAGAAGACAGAGAAGAAAACCAGGAGTAGAAATTCTTAAAGTGAAATCATTTAGGATGAGCCTAGAGTAGCATGAGGCCAGGCTGATTAGAGTGGGGCTTTGTTCTGGAGCAAGAGAAGATGCTGGTGATACTTGTTCTAATCTATGTCTCAAAGTTTCCGCTGCCACAGAGAATTCAGGGGTAAGAATTCTGGGTTAGAAAGCAGAAGAACTCATGAAAGTAAGGTTTTTTGAGCTCCATCTCAACTGTGATATTGAATTAGCAGTTCAACCCTATTGACCTTATTTTTTTTTCCAGTAGAAATAAATACACAAGACAAATAGCACTGCCTACACCTTGTGCCTACACTGAGAATGGTGTGCAAAATGTACAAAGAGAACTTCATTTAAAGGATTGTAACAAAACATTTTAATTTGTATTGAACAGTGTCTGTATTTCATCAATTTCATAATATACAACTCTATTGTAGGATTTCCAAACACCAGGTTCCATTTTGCTTAGGGAAGTAATTATTGAGTGCCCACTATGTGCCGTCCTGTTAGGGGAAGTGACATATGAATCCAGTCAGTTCCATCAAGGTGTTGAGTTAATTCTACTGCCATGAACTTGGTCTCCAACAAGATTGGGATAGTTTATAAGCCCCAGACTGCTCAAGGTGCCACAGAAAATGTCAGGCCCACTGTTGTCTTTTTAGTTCTTGGGGATGAATCTGTGCCTTGGATTTAAGCTGAACTGAATTGTCCCACAGAAAACTTCAGCCCATTATTGAATCCTGGGCTTCGTGCATCAGATCATGACTCCCACTTCTCCATTGCCAACTCTTTTGACCCCGGCAACAAGGCAGTCTTCTGTGACTAAGACTCACACTAAGATCCTGAAAACGATCGCCTGAAGACTAATGGGCCCTTTTCTCCTCACCATAGATTTAGATTACTAATTAACTCATCTGCTACAAGTTCTCTAAGGGGTTATTTCTGCCAACCCAAGAAAAGCCACTTAGGCCCCCACTTCCCCCTGGTCCCCAGGGAAGGCTCTAAATGCTTTGCAGCCCTGCACACTTATAGGAAAGATGTACCCATCTTACATACACAGGTTATGATCCCAAACCAGACTCCAGCCTGTTGAAAATTTAAGGGCCTAGTCTTACCTTGAATTCTTTTCCTAGTGTAAAGTTTGTAACAAAGCCCTATGTCTGTGACCCTTTTAGCTTGCAATGACTACTCGCTTCTACACAATTCCCTCAATTCTGTTGAGAATGATCCTGTTTTCCATGCAGTACTGTATCTCACTGAAATTAAACAATTAAATCTGAATCCTTAGGGCTTGCACAAAGAAACTTTCAAATAATCTCAGATGCTTACAGCCCAGCAGGACAGTTACAACTCCGTAATGTATCCAGACATCATGTCAGATACACATGAAAAATTCTAGCATCTCTATATCAGTGACAGATTTCACACACAAAGCCAAACGATTCAAATCAGATCCTAGCATTCAAGCTTTTCAGTGAACAGCGCCTGAAATTAAATTACTTTGACCTGAAGCCCAGGCTGATGCTTAGCATTTCCTTTCTGGAGCCATAGTTCACCTTTAGAGATGTTCTAATTTCCCCTTTAGAGATGTTGTTGGCAATTCCAGTTCCTGAAGAGGAGATTTGTTGCATTGCCAGACAGGGTCAAGCTTCCCCAGAGCAGGTGGTAAAGTATGTGTTGATTGTGGGAAAGCAGCACCAGGCGGATTTTCAAAGCCTGATCTTGTGATCTCATCAGATCATTGTGAGAAGTTTTAATCATTAATGAGCAAAATTCTTAGGAAGAATTCTGATTATTGTCATCTTTCCCTATCTCTGGGAATAGCATCTTTATAGCCCCATATTAAATATAGCTTCAAAGAGAAGCATTGGGAATATGTTTTTTGAAAACCTCATATATCAGTTGGTACAGTTTTATGTGCTTAAACTTTTGCAAGTGTGAATTTCTGCTTTAGTTGATTTTTCAATCTGCTTTATTTGATTTGGATGGTAGAGAAAAGATAACCATTTACTTTACAAAAAGAACAAATATTAACAGCTGCCTTGCTGGACTTTTTTGCATAAGTATAGTTTTTTTTAGAGGGAAAATTTCAAATTTGACAAAATTATTAAATTGATATGATATATTTTCATTATACTAAATTAAATTTCACTGTCACATAGCTAAAATTTTTACTAAAGATGCTGCTCTTTGGATTTGAATAAACCATTCATCTTAAACACAACACTAACACTGTCTTGTAAGCTCCGTATATTATGTTAGCCTTGGGGCATTAACCTGAGAAAGGGAATTAGTTTGATTTAAAGGGCTTAAGCCAAATCCAATTTTTAGATTTCTCTGTAAACACAGAATCACCATTGTTTTTTGAAGACTTGCTGTGTTTCTACAGCTATGATTATACCACAATAAAATGACATAAGATAACAAGACAGGGAAAAAATAAATCTCACATATGAAACTGATTTTGGTATTTATTATAGGGTTGTAACTGCACAATCCTCTTGTCAGTTTCAAATCCTATTTCCAGTTTGATTTGACTTTGATACTGTATACCTAAAAGTGGGGCATGACATCGTAGAAAGACTGTAGAGCTAGAGGCTCTGTTTTTGCACTCTTACTCACTAGAATAGATGCTTAATCTCTTTGAATCACAGGACTGTCCCTTGGAGAATGGACATAATGATTTCTGAGGATATGTTAGTGTGATATTCTATTCCAAGAAAGTTATTACACTAGTTATAATAATACCGCCTGGAGCCCTCACTATTAATATTCAACTGTAAAACAGATGTATTATAATAGTAAAGGTATAAGTAACACAGACCATAGTAGTGTAGCAAAGTGGGTGGAACTTCTCAGTATCTTTTTCCTGGATACTTTGTTTTGAGTTGATCATGGAGGCTCTGGGTATTTTGTAGAAAACATGGTTTACCAAGAATCCAAATAATAAAATCCCTGCACGAGAGTAATATGAATTATATGTAATTTATATTACTAAATTATTACTGTATTACAAATAAAGCACTATTTTAAACCTGAGCATAGTGGTATTAGAGTTCTGCTTTTCTTGAAACTTTCTATAAGGAAACTCCAAGACATTTTCATGATTCTGTTCACCAATTTGAACTTTTTTTTAACAAGCCCAGGCATCAGATCCCAAAAGCAAAGGAAAATTCAAAATTCATGCAATTCTGTGGTATAAAAATTAGACCTCGACAAGGAGTAGATTCAGATACCACTGCCATTGTTCCTCCTGGCATCTATTTGCCAGTGTAAAACATCCCAAGGGGATCTAGGTGGACAGACTTTCTAAAATTAATGACAAGTTACCAGTGTGACTGTTCTCTTAAAGAGAGTTACATGGAATAGGAAGTTTCAGCTATATAGAAAATGAAAGCAGTAAAGAAAGAGAAAAAGAGGAAATCCCACTAGAAGATTAGCCAAGAATTGTTCTAGTAGGCAGGAATGTCTTTGGGAAATTCAGGATTCTACAGCTGAAGTCAAAGTATTCTGATTATGAGATAAAATGGAGAAAGATGATTCCTTACTTTTGCCCATTCACTGACAGTATTATTCAGATAAGCCTAAGTTGAATCTTCAAGAGGGTCTACCATTTTGATTTCATACAAGGCTTTCTTGACTAATACAAAGAGTGCTACCCGTGCATGGAAATAAAGAAATGGAGCTCACATTTGTTAAATGGTTTTTGTCTGTCATCCTTAGACATTGTATATAGGTAATCTCATTTATTCCCCACACTGAACTTGTAAAACAAGTAATATTTAATGCATTTAATAATGGTTGAAAAACCAAGATTTAGAAAAATATATAACCATTAAGTAGCAGAATCAAAATTGTTCAGGCATAAAATTCCCATTTTTTTCCTGCTTGCCTTGCCACTTCCTGAAGCAGTTAGATTAAACTAAATCTAGGGTTTGGTGGGGCAGGGCAATTAACAATCAAGGGATCCAGGAAATGTAGCAGGTCTAGAGAATGTGTGTCCAAGGACAGTCAGCTGGACAAAAGACACCTTACTTCAGCAACACACATTTTATTTTTTTTGGAAAATTGTGTAATCCTTTTTCTGTTGGAAAAAATACAAGATTTCTTCCTTTTCTGAGACCAAAGGTGAGCTGTCTACAGGAAAGACAAGAGAAATAAGCCATTGTCTATACCCAGGACTCAATGCACCATCCACCTTAAGCTAAGAGAGATCTTCACGTTCTCTTGCAGTAGGACTTAGGGCCTCAGCAGGTGCAGAGAAGTTCCTCCTCCACTCCTATTCAGAGTATAAGAGATGAAGAAGAGCTCCTCATCATCCAAGGACAAGGATGTCTTCATAACATCTCCATCTTTAGTTGTACCTGGGGTCACCATGTTGGATGACTTCAGTTGAACCACTGACATTGTGGTCTCTGTGAATGGTGGCCTTGGAGCTGGGCAGTATGCAGCCTGCATTGCCAAAATTGGTGACCTGGAAGGACTCAAGGGCTAAGACTTATACCTGTATTTGAGGACTAAGCCATTTGACTTTCTGACAGAGAACACCCTCACATATTCAATGTACCAGGGCACAAATGAAAAATGTTATGTAGATAGGCAAATAGAAACTACCACAAAGATACAGCTTCCAGTCACTGTTGGTAGGTTTTCTTGTCCTTTGTCTTGTATCACTCCAATCCTTCTGTAGTGTGATGGGTCCCCCACCAGGTTACTTAAGGGTGCATGTCCACTCCTTGAACTCTGAAGGCCTGGGCAGTGGGCCAAAGACATGGGGCTCAGTCAAACAACAGGTGTCCCTGAGAACCCAAACGTCCTGGGGTATAACTGGAAACATACCAAGGAAAACAGTCTCATCGCACATACACAGTCATCAAAGAGTCAGAAAATTAACTTAAAACAGTTTAGAGATGGGAGGCGGGGCAGATCTCCAAAGCCATCCTGCTGCCACCCAAGAATGTCCTGTATGTAAGTCCTGATAGACTCATTTACTCTCCAGGCTGGACTTGTATGAGTTGTCCTTTTGTCTCTCCAGGCCCCTTCCCAGTTTGGAGCGGGTATTAAAGTCCCAGGATTTTCTTATAATAGTTGGCATCGTGAACAGGACCCCAGAGATCAAACGATGAGTCAGGGAGGAGTATCTGCAGAGGGAACCCTGAGGTGATTGGCATCAACCATGTGGGGTGAAGTTGCCTGGCTGCTTGACCTTTGTGGGCTGCCATGTGAGTATGGGAATGCTCTGAAAGCACAGGCAGGGCCTGAACATGTACTACAGGATGCTAAGGTGTTAAAATACAATAAGGATGGCAAACACAGCATTGTTGCAGCAGGCTGGCCATTGCTTTGGGTGAGGCTGGCTACTGAGAAATCATTAGAGCAGGAGAAGGAGATAGAAAAGTTAAAGGAGGAGCTGCACTTAGGGACAGCCGGGAGCGGTGGCTCACACCTGTAATCCCAGCGCTTTGGGAGGCTGACGCAGGTGGATCACTTGAGGTCAGGAGTTCAAGACCAGCCTGGCCAACATGGTGAAACCCTGTCACTACTAAAAATACAAAAAAATTAGCTGGGTGTGGTGGTCGGTGCCTTTAATCCCAGCTACTTGGGAGGCTGAGGCAGGAGAATCACTTGAACCTGGGAGAAAGAGGTTGCAATGAGTGGATATTGTGCCACTGCACTCCAGCCTAGGCAACAGAGTGAGACTCTGTCTCAAAAAAAAAAAAAAAGAAAAAAGAAAGGGACATGGGACATTCAAGTGTTTATGTCAGTCCTGGCTGGGGATTTGGCAAAGAAGCTAGATAAAAGGGTAAGAACTTCGGTGGCTTACATGTTTAAAAACGTAGAAAAGTTCAAAGGCATGCCAGGCTTTCTAGGACTCCCACTGGTTACATGTTATGGCCCATTCTTGTGCACATTTTAAAACTGACGGGCAAATTACAGCAAGAAAAGTTCAGAGCTCAAATGGTTAAACTGCAACTATAGAGTTAAATAGAGTCTTCTGAAGCTCTCTGTCTCTCTTTTCTTCCTGCTTTTTATCTGCTGTTATTAACCTACCAGTGTTGAGATGAAACTCACTGTTTATGGTACTGCTAATTCAAAATCACTTGGAGATTTTATTTTTCTTATACAGTTCAGCCAGTTCTAAATAAAATGTAAACATTGGAAACTAACTTGAAACTCAATTTTAAAATAATAATAACAAGAGGTTTTTAAAATCAGACTGCCAAAGAAACTGCTTTGCCCAAAATTTTGATCCACAGCTTTGCTTGGATTACCTATCAGGCAAATAAAGTTTAGCCACGTTAACAGGTCCCACTTTTTTCAGAAATATAATTTGGATCCATCTCTCTTTATAAGCTGATAAGTTTATGATGCTGTCTCATGGCTAGAGTTCCAAGGTAAAAGCTATTGGATCTTTATTTGTCTGTGTGTATACATGTTTAGATATATTTATGTATGTTACATATGTGTGTTATATCTAATATGCAAACCAAATTGGCTTATAAGTAAATGAGTACTCATAAATTAAGTCCAAATGCTTTTCAGATTCATGTGAATTTAGTAATCTTTAATAAATAAGCTGGCTTTAAAATTATTAGTAAAATAATAATGGAAATGTCTTTGAAATTGTCAGTATACGATTTTGTCTGGGTTTGCTGATTAGATAAGTTTTATATTTGCCACTACTAGATGTTTTAAGATGGCAGGATTTGGCCGGGCACAGTGGCTGACGCCTGTAATCCCAGCACTGTGGGAGGCCGAGGCGGGCGGATCACGAGATCATGAGATCAAGACCATCCTGGCTAACATGGAGAAAACCATCTCTACTAAAAATACAAAAAATTAGCTGGGTGTGGTGGCATGCACCTGTAGTCCCAGCTACTTGGGAGGCTGAGGCAGGAGAATTGCTTGAATCCCAGAGGTGGAGGGTGCAGTGAGTCGAAATCAGACCACTGCACTCCAGCCTGGGTGACAGAGCAAGACTCCGTCTCAAAAAAAAAAAAAAAAGGCAGGGTTTGATATAAAGATTATGAGACTATGAGACTATACGTCCAGCCAAAAACAGGATCTTTTGTAATTTTTTAACAAGCAAGACCAGTTGAATACTGTTGGTTCAATAAAAACAGCTACATTTACTTACTTATGTGAACACCTGATATTCACAAGCTATGCAAATGGCTAACAGGGAAATAACTTGGAACAATGATTAGCTTTGTCTAATGTCTTGGTTCTCATGAGTAATGTAGGGAAACTGCTAAAACTAAATAAATGTAAATGAGATGAATGCTTGTAGGTAAACTTTTTGTAAAGTTTAAATTTTTAAAATTATTTTAGACACTTACTGGATGGCTGGGTCATTTCCAATTAAAAAAGGGTTATAATATGGAGCAATGGTTACACTTCTGAGACTGTTAATGGAAAATAAACATAATAAAATCTATAATGTGGGGAAAACATTGGTGGACCTCAGTGAGCTGGCAGAAACCTTCCACCCATTAGACACCCTAATAAGGAAAGGTGAAAAATGGGACCAGACACAAACAGAGCAATAGCTATTGGCTGTATATAGGGCATTACAACAAACGGAGGACATCACGTGTCTCACTGCTCTCAGCATCATGTATGGCATGCCAAGATGAATAGACAGTGATCAGGGCTCCCGTTTCACAGGCTATGGTACTCAACCTGGGCATCAGGAAAAACCATAGACTGGAGGTTCCAGTTACCATATAACCCAACAGGGGCAGGCCTCATTTAAAAAAAAAAAATGGCCTGTTAAAAACCCAATTATGTGCACTGTCCCAGGATGGCTCTTTAAGATATTGGACTAAGAATCTCCCTGAAGCCATACAAACTTTAAATAAGCCCCCTGTACCACACATGACATCACTTCCTGTAAATGATTGGCAAAGCCTATAAAACAGGCCCTACAAACTCTCAGGGTTACATCTGAGACACTGAGCCATGCTCCTGAAGCATATGGCCAGACCTTGCTCCTGAGAGCACCAGTGGGTCTGCCAAGCAACAATGGCTATGTGGACCTGAAGTTGAGCTTGAAAATACCTCCACGTTGGATTGGTTTTATGGCACTGGAGTGTACCATGAAGACTGCTGGAGGGGATATGGTCCCAGCTGTGCTCCTTGATGGAAATCCAAAAGACTTATTATATCAACATGTGGCAGCACCAATACCTGCTGGAGCCATCATAGTGTGGGTACATAGACAGGGCCAGAAAATTACCAATTGGCTACTATGCCCCCTTCCAGGGAGGAAAGCCATGTGTGGTACTGTAAGTGAGACCTGAAGCCCATAGCAGCCTTCCTAATAGGACCAACGGGAGAAAACACAGGGGTAATAGTGTTACGAAAAATGGATACACCCACAAGGGTCCCTGCTATATACCTGTGTTTATGCCCATAGGCTGTTATTCCTGCTATCCATGGCAGCTGGTAATATCTTCCTAGATTGGGCTGTGAGTATAGCTGCAGTTAGCAACCAGTATGACTGCTGGGTATATGAATACCTACCCCTGTCAAATGGTAATAATATGCTTTGGAATATTCTGCTTTTCTCTCGACAACACAGAGTGACTGGTTTAACAGTACCAATACGGCAACCCAGGCTCACTGGGGGTGGCCTCCACCCAGAGGCCCGATCGCCAATACTACGGAGACGCAACAACATGTGCCCTTATAGCCACTACCTGTTGTGCCTATTGGAGGATTTCTTGAGCACAGGAGTTCAAGACCAGCCTGGATAACATAATGAGATCCCATCTCTACAAAAATAAAATAAAATAAAATAAAAATTAGCTGGGTGATGTGCACCTTTAGTCCCAGCTGCTCAGGAGGCTGAGTTGGAAGATCATTTCAGCCCAGGAGTTCGAGGCTACAGAGAGCTGTGCTCATGCCACTGTATTTCAGCCTGGGTACGGAGTGAGAGGCACTGTCTCTAAAAAGTAAAAGGAGAAGAAACGAAAAAGAGCAAAAAAGAAAGTAATGTCACAGATGCTTTAAATCATTTGTCAATTCAGATCCATAATACAACCTAATTAGGTTTCTTTGACTCATTCTCAAATTGGTTATATACCTTATCTACTCATTGGAGTTATGTTTTGCTAATAGGCATCATAATTTCAGCTTGCTTCTGCTTTTCATTCTACTGTGTATACAGTAGATGTGGTCTAATGCACAAGCCATGGCTATGCATTATAGGCCCATATAGTTCTTACCCTCGTATCCCACTAGGAGACTCATACACAAGATTGGTAGAAAGAACGTAAGAGCTGGGAGATAGGATAGATTGATGGATTGTAGTATGACGGGTTCCCCACCAGGATACTTAAGTGCGTATGTCCGCTGTTTGAACCCTGAAGGCTTGGCATTGGGCCAAGGCCATGGTGCCCAGCTGAGGAGCAGGTGTCCCTGAGAACCCAAACATCCTGAGGCATAGCTGGGAACATATTAAGGAAAACAGTCTCACTGCTCTCATACACAGTAGGCAAAGAGCCAGAAAATTAACTTTAAAGCAGCTTAGAGATGGGAGACAGGGCAGATCTCTGGAGTTGTCCTGCTGCCACCCTGCCTATAAGTCCTAATAAACTCATCTAATTACCAAGTTGGACTTGTCCAAGTCATTCTTTCATCTCTTGGCTTCTTCCCAGTTTGGACGGGGTGGGCGACATTACAGTCCCAGGCTTTTCTCATAATACCTTCAAAAGGAGCTACTCAATCTTCATCACTCTCCTAAGAATCCACATGTTGCCACAAGGTTGACTTTGTCTTCTCAACAGAGAAAAAATAAGTGAGCAAGTATGAGCTCTTACAGCTTCCGAGTATCCCATTTTTTGGTCACCTAAAAGGTCTTCAATGCTGGGGAGGTCTTATCATTTCCAAAGCTAAATCTTGCACCTGGCTCTTAACCCAATTTTTCACTTCTCCCACTCTCAGAGCTCATTTATTAATATGCCATTTCTCCCCTCATTTAGGCCCTGATCAATTTCCATGTAAATATGCCATGGCCTACAACATAAACTCTCAACTGCCAGATTTTCTCTTTTCCTGTTTACATTCCTGCCCTGCATTATAATTATCTTTCTAAAATAATTGTTTAAATTTTCGTATCAACTCTTCAAAGCCTAGTGTTTGATTCAAGACCCTTTACAAATTATTAACATCATTTTAGCCTTTCCTCCCATCATGTTTTATTATTATCTTGACACTATGGCCATACTTTTGCACAGAGGCATGAAACAGCAGAACATCAGCAGAAAGTGGCATAGTTTGTCTTGAGGGTAGGTACTGTGTTTTTTTCAAATTTTTCTTTCAAATTTCTAGTGCTATCACATCCTTGAGTAGATTATAGACAATCAAGAAATATTAATTAAATTAGTTTCACACCATTCTCCAAACATAGCTCCCTACTTCCAGTTTTCTTTCTCTCTCTGCCATCAGGACCTATTTCTAAGACTATTCCTGTCACTTCCTATTTATAAACCTTCAATGGGGCTTCATCACATATGTAATAACCAGAAACCTTTCCATCCTGGTATCCGAGGTAGCCATGATTTTTCCTTTCTCTGTGTATCCAGTCTTTTACTCGTATTTCATCAGCCCTGTCCCTCCTGATAGCACACATTATGAATTATACTCTAGTGGCTTCCTGAGCACTTTAAACTTTTCATTTCTGCCTTTATATAAACTATGATCCCATCTCAGATTGCCATTTTCATCCATCTCCACCTGTTGTAGTCCTAATCCTCCTGAAAGGCCCAGTTCAAATCCCACTTCATCTAAGAAGCTGACCCAGATTTCCCTATGCAGAACTAAACTCCCTCAATCCACGCTGGCTGTCACAGCCTTTTATCTGTAACATTTTTACTGCAATGAGCAATTTGTATTTTGACTTAGAATTAATTTATGCCTGTCTCTCACACTAAAATGTAAATTACTTGTTTGCATAAACCATATCTTATTTATATATACCTCAAAGCACCAAATACAACACTATGAGCATAACAGTTTCTCAACGAGTATTTGTTGGTTTGAATCAAAGAGAAATATTAAACTTATTATCAAAGCAGCATTGTTGGTGAGAAGAAAATCATGTATGTGTTTTATTGCCTTAATAAATTTGTGGGATTCTCCAAAGCATGAGTTTAATGATACAGCACCAAAATAAAAACAGGTAACCTTAATTTTATGATAGTTTATAAAAATCAAGTCACAAAAATTTGAATTTGAGGCCAGGTATGGTGGCTCATGCCTGTAATCCCAGTGCTTTGGGAGGCCAAGGCAGGAGGATCACTTGAGTGCAGGAGTCCAAGAGCAGCCTGGACAACAGAGTTAGATCCCATGTCTAAAAAAATTTTTAAATTATCCGGGCATGGAGCCAAATGCCTGCAGTCTCAGCTGCTTGGGAGGCTGAATTGGAAGGATCACTTCAGCCCAGGAGTTTGAGGCTGCAGTGAGCCACCATCGTGCTGTGCCACTGTACTCCATCCTGGGTGACAGAACGAGACCCTGTCTCTTAAAAATAACAACAACTTGAATCTGCTTGAATTTGAATGACTCAAAGGGCACTTTATTTCATTAGTATGAATAAAAGCATCAGAGATTCATTATCTATTTGCAATATGATTCTTACCACTTTCATTGGTTAGTGATCACAACCCAGTATATTCTGTTACCCACATTAGAAAATGGGTTGACATGACTTCTTCAAACACAAATTTTACACAATACAAAGGAAAAAACAGTGTTTAACAGGCATGCATGTCCATTTTTAGAACTTACTCTTTCTTTCACTCATCTAGTTGTTCATTCAAAAGTAATACTATTAAGGATAAATGAAAATATTCTTGCACCATTCTGTCCATTTTCATGTCCTCAGCTACAAATCATTCTTTTGACTTTACTGAAGTATATAAGACTCTGTCAGCTGGCCATGGTGGCTCATGCCTGTAATCCCAGCACTTTTGGAGGCCGAGGTGGGCAGATCACGAGGTCAGGAGTTCGAGACCAGCCTGACCAACATAGTGAAACCCAGTCTCTACTAAAAATACAAAAATTAGTTGTGCATGGTGGCACGCACTTGTAATCCCAGCTACTCAGGATGCTGAGGCAAGAGATGAACTCAGGAGGCGGAGGTTGCGGTGAGCCAAGATCGCATCACTGCACTCCAGCCTGGGAGACAGAGCAAGACACCGTCTCAAAAACACAAAACAAAACAAAAACCTCTGTCTTATCAGATAGGAGAGGGATTCTCCTGTTCTTTGAAGAATTTATCTGCCATGTTGTGAGTGAACCATGTGGCTAAGACCTGAGTGTGGCCTCCAGGAGCTGAGGGTGTTCCTCTGCTAGCAACCAGTAAGAAAGCAGGGACCTCAGACCTATCACCATAAGGAGGTAACTTCTGCCAACAACACCAACAACACGTATGTGCGTAGAAGAGGACCCTGAGCTCCAAAGGAGAACATGGTCTGGCTGGCACCTTCATTTCAGCCTGAGGAGACCCTGAGTGAGAACCAACTATACTGTGCCCGTTTGACTTACAGAAACAATGCAGTAACAAATGTGTGCTGTTTCCAGCTGCCAGTTTATGATGATCAGTTACACAGCATAGAAAACTAACACGGGGGCCAGGAAACCAATACTTACCAGTTTAGTCAGGCAACTGTGATGAGTTAGGTACTGTGTTAGACACTGAACCCATAGTATCTTATTTAATCATCACAACAGCTCTCTGAAGTAGATTGGAGTGTCCCCAATATGTGGAGTATGTAAATAGGTATTTCTCATTTTATAAATGAGAAAACTGAGATGAGAAAGGCCAAGTGATGCAAAAGTGACACATAGGAAGCAATTAGGCTGAGTAAAATATATTTTCTCTATGTCAAATCTAATGTTATTTCTGATGTACTACAGTCACATGAAAATGCAACAAGTCAGCAATGTAAAGTAGCACCAGATGAATCAACCAATTAGCGTTAGAGGAAGTAGTGGGAAGAGAAGTGAGGTACCACATCAGGCTGGGATGTCTGGGAAATCTGATGGAAGAAGTGAGGTTTCAAATGAGCCTTAAAGCTGGATATAATTTTCCAAAGGGAAAGAGAGGATGAATACAGTAGTTCAGTCAGGGGAAATGGCAGGTGTCGAGCGCTAGTTTACAATGTAAACGTGTTTAGAGAATAGCATTAGCAATTGCAATGGCAAGCACTGGGACATGGGCAAGAAAAGTTAGATTTAGCGAAGTACATGGCATTGTCATGAAAGTATTTTGGCCCTTGAAATACTTCGAGGGGGGTATAGGGTGAAAATAATCTTTTCATACACTGTATATTAATATAATAAGGTCAGAGAAATGGTATTATCTTAGTAGCTAATACCTTACATTTACTTGTTAGAAATGAATAAAATATATGTTTTGGGGAAAATATTCAGGTAAACAGTTGGTGAAATGTATGGGTCCTAAGTGGCTGCTATCAGCTGATACCAAGTATTAAGAAAAGAGGGAGAAAATATTTTGCATGAGGCAAGTGGGGAATTTTTTGCTTGGCTCAGTGAAGAAAGAGGAGCAAAGAAAAACATGAAAAAGCATGAAGGAGAAGCATGGGCTATGGCTTGAATGTTTGTCTTCTCCAAAAGTCATGTAGAAATTTGGTTGCTGTGTAACACTGTTAAGAGGTGAGATCAGCCGGGCACCGTGGCTCACGCCTATAATCCCAGCACTTTGGGAGGCCAAGGCGGGTGGATCACGTGAGGTCAGGAGTTCGAGACCAGCCTGGCCAACATGGCAAAACCCTGTCTCTACTAAAAATACAAAAACTAATTAGCTGGGTGTGGTGGCAGTTGCCTGTAATCCCAGCTACTTGGGAGGCTGAGGCAGGAGAATCACTTGAACCTGGGAGACGGAGGTTGCAGTGAGCCAAGATTGGGCCATTGCACTCCAGCCTGGGTGACAGAGCAAAACTCCATCTCCAAAAAAAAAAAAAAGAGAGATCTTTAGGAGATGATAGGGCCATGAGGACTCCACCTTCATGGGTGGTTTAATGTCATTATAAAAGCACAAATTTGGCCCCCTCTTGCTCATTTTGCCCTTCTACATGGCAGAAGGCAGAAGGATCCAGTATTCCTCCCTTCTGAAGAATGTAGCAAGAAGTTTCTCACCAGAAGTTGGCACCTTGGTCTTGGACTTTCCAGCCTCCAGAACTGTGAGAAAATTAATTTCTGTTTTTTGTAAATTATCCAAGTTCAGGTATTCCATTATAGCAGCACAAATGTACTAAGACAACAGGGACCAGCAGGATGAATGAAGGAAATAACAGTTCAAGTGACTGAAATGAATCCCTATATTTAATGCCTCATCATACCCAAAGCCCACTGAGATGACAAGAATGCAAAAAGGACCGAGATGTTAGCATATTTTTCAATTACAGAAAGTGGATTGGTTGTGGAATGTACAGATTAACAATGGAGAGCACATAACCCTCAGTCTGGCACACCAGTGGAGGCTAAAGAAACTGAAAGGTGTTCTGCCCAGGGTGCAGGGACTCCATGTCAAGAGTTGGCAGGTATGGAAAGCAAGAGGGTTGGGACAGAAACCAGGGTAATTAATTAAGTGACTATTTTTAGGACTAACTTCAAGGGTTACATGAGCTCCCTCCCCTCCAAAAACAAATCATTAGGAAAATCTCAAGACAATTAAAAACTTTCTGAAGTATGGGTAGAATTAGGGCTCAGCCATCAACCTAAAGTGAAGGCTTTAGTTGCCCTGTCCTATCCACTCATCCTTTTCATTCAGAAATGTGGCATATGAGGGCAGGGAACTCATATGAGCTACATAATTAATCAATGGAGTCTTTTATTTTTATTTATTTATTTATTTATTTTTTGAGACGGAGTCTCGCTCTGTCGCCCAGGCTGGAGTGCAGTGGCGTGATCTCAGCTCACCACAAGCTCCGCCTCCCAGGTTCACGCCATTCTGCTGCCTCAGCCTCCCGAGTAGCTGGGACTACTGGCGCCCGCCACCACGCCCGGCTAATTTTTTGTATTTTTAGTAGAGACGGGGTTTCACCGCGTTAGCCAGGATGGTCTCGCTCTCCTGACTCGTGATCCGCCTGCCTCGGTCTCCCCAAGTGCTGGGATTACAGGCGTGAGCCACCGCTCCCGGACTATTCATTTTTACATATAGAAAACCAACAATCACCAGACATTAGAGAAAAATTAATAGCCTCAAAACGAACAAAGGACTCAAAGAACAATTAACTCTACAAATAACTAAAAGATAAGAGATTTTAATAAACGCTTGTAATAAATTTAGTGAGATCCAAGAGTATATTAGATCTCTAAAATAAAAGAGGTTGCTGCAGAAAAAGGTTTCAGGAAAATAATAGTGTTTTTAGAAATTAAGAAAGAAACACTGGACCTCTGTTCCTGCTTAGGATATTGAAAGCTACTGGAAAGTAGCGGTCTCACCCTAACGACAAGAACAAAATCTTTTCTTTTCCTGGTCTATCAGAGAGCTGAGATCACAAGGCAATTTGTGAACTGAAATCCCAACGGTGTCAAGCCTTTCCAAGGAGAGATGGACACACAAACTCTTTCCTTTTGCCCAGAACAGAGACACAAAGAGTTGACCACCATAGAAGCAGGTGAGAAAAAAACAATCACAATGTTAGCAAGTGCTTTGAGGCAGAAGCCCTCTGACCCTGGGGAGGATCAGGAAACCCACCCCTGCTGACTATGCTCTGTTGTAAGAGGGGAGGTTGTAGCTACTGGGGAGGGGCAGGAATGCTAAAGGAACACAGCCCTGAGGATCAGCTCGGCTCCTAGAACCTGCCTAAGGCAAAGGCAGGAGCAGGAAATTGAGAATGCCTCCTACCAAGCCCTAGCAGCCTGGAGGAAGCAGCAATGCAGAGAGAGAACCTCTCTGTAGTGCAGGTTGGTAAACCTGCAGAAAGCTGCCACTGGAGTGGGAACACTAAGAGAAACCTCTGGCAATTAAGACCTGATGCTAAGCATAAGGTAGCAACAGAAGGAATTTGAAATCTGTGTTATCCTGTAGGTTTCTTCAAAATGTAGAGCAAAAATACAAAAGAGAACATACGAGCAAAAAGTTAAGAGACATGGAGAATCAGTTCACAAGTTTCAATCTCTATCAAATAAGAATTCTTGAAAAAAAGAGAATGGAGGCGTAATTAAAGAAATAATAGAAGATGATTTCCCAGAGCAGAAGACAGTCACAGAACTTTATAGACAGGGCCCTTTCAATGCCCAGAAAGGAAAGTGAACCAAGAGCCCAACCTACACAGAACTTTGTAAAATATTAGAATACTAAGGACAAAGGAAAGACCCTGAAAATTTCCAGAGAGAAAATGAGGCCACCCACAAGGGAACAAGAATCAGATGGGCTTTAGAATTTAATCAGCAATATTGAATGTCAGACAACAGTGAAGCAAGATTTGAGCATGTTGAAAATTAGTCTGAACTACTAATTCTTGTCAATCAAACCAATCAAGTGTGACTTGAAAGAAAACCAACAAGACAGTCTCAAATATGGCCAACCTGAGTTTATGGCCTGCCAGGTTTTCACTATAAATGAGTGCCGTATACATTAGCAGGGTGCTGCCAAATCAAGAATCACATAGTTCTAGTTCTGCCCACTAGAAGGTGTTGCTCTGTCAGTTGTCCTCTATGGCCCCCTCTGCAGTGGGTATGGGTTCTGTGCCCTTCATAGGACCCTCAGCTTTGAAAATTCACTTCCTCCTCATGAAAGTTTAGGGACCTTGGTGTTGTTTTAGATGAGGGTTTCTCAACCTGGGCTGCATATTTTTGGACTGCATAATTCTTTGTTATGTGGGGCTGTCCTATACATTGTAGGGTATTCAGCAGCATCCCTGACCTCTGCTCCCCAAAAGCTAGTAGCATTCCCCCAGTTGTAACTTTCAAATGGCTCGTGGAAGGCAAAATCATCTCTGGTTTAGAACCACTGTTTTAGGGGATTAATAGCCTTTACCATAAGGTTAGTGGTTTCTTTGGCAATACAATTTCTTGCAAAAATATGTAAACTATCGATCTATTTGTTATCAATCATGTTTGGACACCAGTAACTACATCCAAAGATTATTCCTAGACCTAATATTCAAGCTTGATTTCTTGGCTACTTTGAGGCCATCAAGCTTGAATGGGAGGGTAACACCTGCCTCCTTACAAGCTACAGTGGATTAAACACTCTTTAACTTTTATTTCCTAGAGTTTGTATTCTAGAAAATAATTGGCTTTTCCATTTCTACGTGACATCCAATTCTGGATTATATTTCATTTCATTTCTGCTTGCAAACCAGCCAATTCTTACCTAAACTCATCTCATTCTTATAATATCTTAGCCAATAATAGACAACACATATTTACTCTGACTACTCCCAGCCACTTCCTGGGAAGTTCAGGCTCAGCTAGCATATGGTCTCCTTGAAGTGGTCATAACTAACAGTTTACCATAGGAGCTACCACTGCATAGCAGGTCTTCATAGGGTTCTAGCCTTTGATATGATTTCTTTCAGTCTTCTACCCAACAGCTATGCCATGTTTTAGTTTTTGCATTTCTGCAACAGCCCACTTCAAGATATCAATTTCTACATTAGTCAGGATAGGCTAAAGGCTCTAACAAACAGTCTGCAAATCCCAGTGGCCCAGAACAATATACGTTAATTTCTTGCTCCCATCATATGCCTATGTGGGTTGGTGTATATGGGATGTATGTTCCACTCTGTCATTCAGGCACCAGGATTCTTCCATCCTGTGGCTTTTCTGTCTCCTGGGGACATTCTTCAGTTGGTGGACAGAGAAAGAGAAAGATGATTACACATAGGAGAGGCCTATATACCCAGCATGGAGGCTTGCATATTACTTTCATCAGTTGTATTAGCACGAGATGTCCGTCTAACTGCAAGGAGCCTGGAGACATCTTCCTTATGTGCTAAAGAAGATGAGAAAGTGAATATTGGCAAGCACTAGAAGTTTCTGACACTAAGTCCAAGTAAGATAGAAATTCAGAAGGCTCCACGAGGAATACATTTTAAGAGAGTTAAGTGGATTTCAACTCAACAAATTGATGGGAATCTGAAAATTTTACTAATATAGTTCTAAAAGTATACGTACATTTTTTTCTCAGCAAGAAAAAATAATGTAACAATGACACATAAATAAAATGACCAAGGGAAAAAGAGTATAATAATAAAACTAGGAACTCAAGAAGGAGAAAAAACTGTACAAATTGGTTCTTTCCAAGAATAAAACAAATTATAATCTGCATGATTTTGAAGAGTTGATGGGGCAAACAAAAAAGAAATAGTTCAACTTGACACATGAAACATGGCCTTCATGTAGACCAAGCTGCAAAATTGGACCAAGTTACGTTCTCCTCTTCATAAGTCCTAAATCTCACCAGTCAGTGAATAATGCTTACATAATAATCTTATGACAAACAAAAATCATCATGTTTTAAAATATTTAGACCTGATCTTAGAAAAATACAGAAAATTCCATTGTAGTTATAGAATAGAATCTAAAGATTTTTATATTTTGACAATGTAAAATGATATTCTATATCTGAATATGGAAAACCTCATGAACATAGGTCCGGAAGTATTCAAAAATAATGAATATCCTAGTATTTGGACACAGGAGAAACTACTACAGTTCGGACTAGAAGAGAGAAACAGAGCCACTGGTACCTTCTCTAAACGATGTCACTCTCATTTGCTGTTACACTGCTATGAATATTATTATGTCTAGAAAAGTTCCCCAAATACATTTTCCTTCAAATCCATTTTTCTTGTTTATCAATAATTATCTGCTTTTACTTGAATTTAGCAAATCCCTGACTATTGTGAAAAGTATGCAATTTTTCCTACCAATTACAGCTTTGTGTGAAAATGGAGCTAATGACTGGGAGATAGTAATAGCATTGGATTAGAACTGCCTTTTTGAAAGCTTCACTCTGTAGGGCTCCTTCTGTAGTTCAGATAATGTATCCTAGTTATTTGGGGTCTGAGGCTTATCAAAAGAGACAGAATTAATCATGCTGGGTTGTGCGATATGTTTTGGAGAATGGACGTGACTCCTCTAAAAAATGAAAAAGGCAAAATAATTTTCTATGAGCTTTTGAATCCTAAGGTTACCCTTCTGTTCCCCCTATCGTCCATCTTCAGATTAAAGCTTGGAACAATCACTAGATTTTAAAGTGAGGGGGGAAGAGGGGGAGACTGTCTGCACCTGGAAACCATTTTCTTGATTTGTGCTGGCTGGAGTCCTGGAGATATAACAGCAAGAATGCCTCTCTGGGATTTCTTTGAAATCTGGGCAGGATGATTTGTCTGAAGGGAGGAATTGGGGGATGAAGGGTGGGGAAAAATTCATTCCTTGTTGCCACATTGTTGTTCTGCAGTGAAGGAGCTTGGCCTGACTTGGGTTGGAGTTGAAAGAAAATCAACAAGGCAGCCTCAAGTATGCAGGAATGTGCTGCCCTGAACTTGCCAATTTTTTAAACATAACTGAGTATTGTCTCCACTGTAGGGGGCTGCCGACATCAAGCTCATATGGTTCCATGCTGAAGATCTTTCCAATAGCTGTGCAAATTACAATGTATTTTTATCTGCTTTAGTACATTCAAAGGATGACAAATAATTATCTCTGCTTACATTACCTGGAAATGCACAGTAATAAATTTGCTTTGGAAGCTCCCTCTGTTGTGTCATCAAGCATTCACATACTTGGAAGATGCTTTTGATCCTCCTATTTGTACAAACAGTAAGCTCCAAAATGTAAAATATACTTTGTCCAAAAAGAAGGGCAAAAAAAGATGCAACAGGATGAAACCAGTATTCTTAATTTACATGATTGTTTCTCATACACTTTTACGCAATGTTCAGCATTAATGAACTTCTACCTCTATGTTGCTATCCTCATGCAGTACAAAGCTATGCAGCTGACTTTTGAAGGCACTGACTACAGTAAGAGTAACAACAGCTTACAAGTGTCTACTGTGTGCCAAGAACTTTATACAAATTATTTCTAATCTTCATAACACTGCTCAGGACAGTGACTACTGTCTGTAATTTAATGATGAGAAAAGTGATGCCAGGACAAGCTAAAGGACTTCCTTCCCCAAGGCTATGAAGGTAGTAAATGTTTGCTCCTAGATTTGTCCTGTGGGCATTGAGACATCAGAGTTCATGCTCTTCAGAGCACGCCTGTTTATTACGCATGATTTTTACAAACCTATCTTCTTTGTTTCTCTAGGCAATATTTGTTCTTAAATATTATTGCTACTATTCTCATACAAAACAGGTAATACAGCCCGATGTTTGAATCCAGAAGACCTGGGTTTGAATTTTGTTTTTCTTGTGTGTGTGTGTTTTTTTTTTTTTTTTTGAGACAGGGTCTCATTATTTTACCCAAGCTGCAGTGCAATGGCATGATCACGGCTCATTGCAGCCTTGACCTCCGGGCTCAGGTGATCCTCCCACATCAGCCTCCTGAGTCGCTGGGACTGCAGGCATTCATCACCACACCCAGCTAAATTTTTGTATTTTTTATAGAGATGGGATTTTGCCATGTTGCCCAGGCTGCTCTGGAACTCCTGGGCTCAAGGAATCTGCCTACCTCGGCCTCCCAAACTGCTGGATTACAGGCATGAGCCACTGTGCCTGGCCAAGTTTGAAGTTTGACCACTTATGAATTTGTAACCTTGGACAAGACTCTTAATTTACAGGATATCAAATTTCTCCATTTGAAAAAATGGATATAATAAACATGCCTATGCTCTAGGGCCATTGTTTGAATTACAATACGTAAAAAATTTCAATTACTCTTCTCATGTTAATTAGTACTTCTATAAACTTAGAAAGGAAAATTATACCCAAAGAAGTGTAACAAAGTAAATATAAGTCAGGTCTTTTTTGGATTATCTCTTCCTTATGCATATACATATCTGTTCCCTATACATATGCCAATATGTATGAGTCTCTACATAATTTTATTCTATTTTCTCTCAAATATGATTCAGTATTTGCTAATCAGCAAAACTTAACTTTTATCACCCGAGAGACTTTTTTTTTAATAGAAAAGACTTTTGTAGAGATGAGGGTCTCACTCTCCTATGCCCAGGCTGGTCTTGAACTGCTGGACTCAAGAGATCCTCCCATCATGGCCTCCAAAAATGCTGGAATTACAACCAGTCACCTTGTTATGGAGAGACTTTTATCTCCATAACAAGGCAACCTTTGCTCACTGTACATTTTCTCACCCAAACCTCCCATAATTTGCCTCCACTCCCCTAGAAGCCCAAAACCTCTGTTCATTTCAGTAGCTTGGGATGATGTATAAGCCTCTGTCTTCTGTCTGTTTCTTTGGGTCTCATATTTCTGTGGAACCCTCATGTATAGACACCTAATTAAAATTTTTTTCTTCCTGTCAGTATGTCTTATGTCAATTTAATCTGTAGACTAGCCAAAGAACCTAGAAGGGTGAAAGGAAGCTAATTTTCCTCCCTTATACATTTATTCATTCAAATATTTATTGAGCAGCCACTATGTACTAAACGTAATGCTAGCCACACAGAAGACGGAGCTTTTGTCTTCAAGAAGAACATCTTCTGGTAGGAAAAAAAAAAAAAGGAAACCAGCTGTTTCTATCACAGGGTCACATATACTATGATGGGGTCTGAACAATGTACTGCCTTAGTGCTAAACAGACTGGCTGACTCTGAAAAGCTGATACTCAAAATGAGATTTTATGGATGAGTGGAAGTAAATCAGGCAGAGGAAGGTGAAGGAGAGGCAGAGGGCATCACGAAAAGAGACAGTAGTGTGTGCAAAGGCGCGTACCATTAAAATGCAGTACACTCTCCATAAACTGCAAGTTGTTCAGGCTGGCGTGAGTGCAGGGAGCACTGGCAAGTGACGGGAAGTCCAAAGAGGTAAGCCCAAGAGCCAAGGGACCCAAATTGTCACATGTGAATTCAGATGTTGGTAAAAGCCCACAGATGATACTATTATTTTCAAGAGAGTATAGGAGAGAAAGGGTACATTTGGAGATTCCTGAGTATTCTAATTAAGGAGTCACTGTAATTTGGAGAGCATCAGATGGAGAATAGCTAAATGTCAGAAACCTTACATAATAAGGCCTGCAGGGCTTAGTAAAATGGAAATAAATAAACAGTAGAAAATATTGGACATAGTGGGTTACCTACATGTTGATTTAAAGTGTGAGAGCAAATTTTTCTTACTGAATGGACAATATTGTAGATTAGGCTAGCTAGCAGGAAGGAGTTTTGCTAAAAGCTTATGCAATTTTTATGAGATAAGCTCTTCTAAGTTGACTGATGTTGCCTTGGCTTGCCTAAATTATGAAATAAATACTGCAGAAGATGAGCAAAGGAGAAGAGTGACAAGAAATTGTCTTTTTCAAGATATTTATACTCTGTTGCACCGATCTAGTTGAAACATGTGATTCCTCAAAGCTTGAGTATATAGAACACCTTCCTAAAAGTATGGGAAGACTTGCTTTACCCAGAATAAATGTTCATTGTAAAAAACCTGTCCTATAGGAGTATTGTAATTAAAAGAAATCATTCTTCTGAAACTTTTTAGAATTCAGATGTGTCTTTAAGTCTGTTGGGCTTCTGCCCACTAGGAGACATTAGTGTGGGGAATGGGTAACATTTTGGAAAGAATGAATCTGAAGGAGACACTCTAGGCCTGTTCAATATTAACATTACAGTCTAAAAGCAAAGTAGAGGGATAGGTCTCATTTAGATGGTCTTTCAATCCAGACCCTATGGACTTCTGATGAAATCTGAAATTACAGTGAGGATGCCATTACTAAAAGTAAAAATGAGAAGAACTGTTTCCATAAACATCATCTTAAGGCTTTAGGAACACAGGTGGCACTGATTTGGCACTTAAAAGCCAAGTAAGCTGACATTTAGAATGCCCACCATATGCCATGCACTGTTCCAAGCATATTTTAAATTATTAAAGTCTATGAGATGTGTTTTTATTCATATTTTAAGTAAATTGCAATATAGAGAGGTTAAGAAACTTGTCCAAGGTCAGATGGCAAGTTAGTAGGAAAACTGAGATTTGAACTTAGTTACTCTGCCTCCAAAGTTCATGCTGTTAAACCATAATGCAACTTGAAAGTGATGGGGAGAGGGGCTCTTCTTGGATGCGACACCCTTCCAGGGTCCCAGGGCATTGTCATAATTAACAGCATTTGCAGTTTTGTACCACATGCAGGCTTTGGCCCAAGGAAAGGCTTGGTACTGAAGGGCCTGAGAGCACGTGACCTGACAGCCGTCGACCTGGGCAAGGAACAGCGACACTGGAGTGGGAGGTTGGGGGAAACTGGGGGAGTCAGAGGAGTTGTCACACACAAAAACAATGGGAGCTGGAAAAGGAGGGAAGGAAAATCAGACATATCATGTAGTAGTTGAGAATAGCATTCATGAGCCCATGTGAGGCTTCTTCCTTCACCCCAAGACAGTCCCTGAGATATGGGGGAGATTGAACGGGAGGGGGCAGTCTCCCAATGGAGGAGAGACAAAAGCCAGAAGAGCGCTGTTCATGAAAGTGATGTGACCGGTTTTTTTTTTTTTGGTGTGACCTGAGAAACATCGGATGCCTTTGTAATTATTAACTGCAACTTTTAATAGTATCCAGAAAGTCCCAAATGCTTTCATGTAGCTAATTTCAATTGTAAAACAATGGTAAGCAATGGAGTGAAGCTGTGAGACAATTCAACATAGCCTTGCCAGTAGAACCAGCAAAGGATTTGGTTTTAAAAGACTGTAACTTGGCTGGGTGCGGTGGCTCATGCCTGTAATCCCAGCACTTTGGGAGGCCGAGGTGGGTGGATCATGAGGTCAGGAGTTCAAGATCAGCCTGACCAACATGGGGAAGCTCCATCTCTACTAAAAATACAAAAATTTGCCAGGCGTGGTGGCATACGCCTGTAATCCCAGCTACTCAGGAGGCTGAGGCAGGAGAATCACTTGAATCTGGGAGGCAGAGGTTGCAGTGAGCCGAGATTGTGCCACTCCAGCCTGGGCAACAGTGCAAGACTGCATCTCAAAAAAAAAAAAAAAAAAAAAGACTCCAGTTTACTCAGCAGCTCTCACAAGTCCCAAACTTCTTTATATCTCCATTTCTTTATTGATAAACGAGAAGGCAGCAGATATTCTCTAAATTGTAGGGATTAATGTTAAGACAAGAGCCACAAGAAGAGCGGAACAATAACATCCCGGATAGCTTAGCCCTATATATGAACATTTATTTTTAACCATGGATGTTGCATATCTTCCTTTAACATTATTTGGCAGGCCAGGTGCAATGGCTCATGCCTGTAATTCCAACACTTTGGGAGGCTGAGGTGACAGGATTGCTTCAGGCCAGAAGTTTGAGACCAGCCTGGGCACCACAGTGAGACCTCATCTCTACAAATAATAAAAATAATTAGCCAGGCCTGGTGGTGCATGCCTGTGGTCCCAGCTGCTCAGGAGGCTGAGGTGGGAGGATCACTTTAGCTCAGGAGCTCAGGAAGTTGAGGCTGCAGCAAGCCATGATTGCATCACTGCACTCCAGCCTGGATGACAGAGTGAGATACTGTCTCAAAAAAAAAAAAGGCATTATTTTGCAATTCTAGTGTGACTAAGAAGGCCATATGCCAAACTAACATTTCCATCATAACTGGCAATTTAAATGTTGTATATAAATGAGGTAGATGATCCCATTTCAACTAAATGGGATGTATTGGTGCATGATGCTATAGAACTAGCCTAATAAAGCAAACCAAGCCTGGCGAATAGTCCCAGAAATAATAGAATTTTAAAACAAAAACCTAATTTTTAAAAATGAAAATAATTTGAAACACATCCTAAGTGATATTTTTCATGAAACACTAAATATTATAGAAAATGCAAAGATGACATATGGTATCTGTGAAATCATAAATTTACAAAGCCATTTTCCTAAGAGAAAACAAATCAATAACTGGAAAAAGCTTTAAGAATTCTCTTCATTCAGGCTTCTAAGTCAGTTATTCTATAAAGTCCTACTTAACCATGTTTCTGGTGTCAGAGACTTTATGTCTTGTACCAGTCAGGTTGAGGAAACGTTCTAACACCATACTCTTAGTTGCATTTTTCTCCAGTTTCAGGGACTTTCTAGCTTGGTTATCACTGACTTCCTTAATGCAATGATAATACTGTTGCAATTGTAACCAAACCTCTCTTTTAAAATAATAATTATCATTTTTATCATGAAGCTTTCATCTATTTTGCATTCTAACTTGCAATGCAGAGATGTAAAATACATCTCTATGAGTCAATGGTAGCATCATAAATCCTCTAGTATGGGATATTAATGAAAGGGACTGCCAATGTACCCATTGCACTAGCTTAGCAAAGGGTATATAAAATAGTAATAAATCAGTGGATCTTAACAGCTGATTTGCAGTACTTAAAGCATAAAATGTGGTATGTATCAGATATATAGTTACAGATTCTACTAATTCACCAGTAAGCTGATAGGCAACAACAAATAATCAGTATATTGACATAAGACTGTTCCCACTCACCTTTATCTATCCCTGGCCCCTCTATGTGCAGAGACAGTCACTGAAACCATAAAGCCACATCTGTTGGCTGAGTGATGTCCCTCACCATATGGGTGTTGGAAAGTATACTGTAAGTGAACTTAACAGGTTCCTGGTAGAGGCGGCTGCGAAGTATTCAAAATAATAGTTGCTCTGGCCATTTCCCCAAAACACTCACTTGTCATTCTAAGAACAGATGCTCCACTCAGGTAACCAGTTCAATGATCAGTTAGACAATCACGAGTCCGGTGGATCAATAGATACATGTTTAGAGCTATGTTGATTCCCTCTGGACCCCTTATTGAATATTTATTTCATATTCAGCCCTCATCTCGTGCAAATCACAGCCAAACAGTCTTTCATGGTCTGGCATTTCACAGGAAAGAGAGTATCTTTGGAAACCTAAAGAATAAGACTCAGTGGGGAATTTTAGCCTCTGGCTGGTTTATAAAATAAACACTTCAACAAAACTATTTGCATAATAAAACTATCATCCGTAAGAGATTTAGGAAATTGTATCAAATGAAGCTAAACTACAGTTTAAGAATGTATTTTACGAGGTAGATAAGGGAATCTTCTTAATCCACAGAGTTTAATGTTTCATTTTATTTTTCAGGGTGGGATCCCTTCACTCAATTCTAGAATGGAGACAACAGCTGTTTGCTCTTGTCTTGTGTGCCAAGTCTTCATGAGTTGTCTGAGGCAGCTTTAAACATTCCGGGTGCTTATTTATTTTTTAGCCTTGTAGTTCACATATTTGGTTAATAAGTTGGTAGCCGATTGGAGTCTGGGGCATACCCATTAGTACAAAGCAAAGGAAGCATCCAGGAATCACTCTGAACTTCCTCTGTTAAAGCAGAGCTGTTCAGGCTGGGCGCAGTGGCTCACGCCTGTAATCACAGCACTTTGGGAGGTGGGCGGATCACCTGAGGTCAGGAGTTCGAGACCAGCTTGGCCAACATGGTGAAACCCCGTCTCTACTAAAAATACAAAAAACGTTAGCCAGGTGTGGTGGCGCACACCTGTAATCCCAGCTACATAGGAGGCGGAGGCAGGAGAATCACTTGAACCTGAGAGGTGGAGGTTGCAGTGAGCTGAGATTGTGCCATTGCACTCCAGCCTGGGCAACAGAGGGAGACTCCATCTTTGAAAAAAACAAAAAACAAACAAAAAAAAACACAGAGCTATTCTCATTGACTTGAAAATTCATGATTTCACATACTCAACTATGCCCTGACAGGAAAAGGCAGCTTTGCACTCATAAACTCTATTATGCATTTGCTTGCACTTTTGCTAGACTCCAGAACTTTCGCGATATTATTCAGTTTGGTCTTTATTGGAAGCTGCCAAATAAAATGTGTGTGTAGGGAGGGGCTGGAATTAAAGAAAGACAGTCAGAAATTTGCATTCTGAGTTTTCTGAAAATCATAATGTAACATCCTCTGTGCTCCCTGGGTTCTATTCTGTTTGTTAACTTGGTCCCTTGATAAACAGGAAATTTCTTGTCATGCTGGAAAACCTAGATTAAAATCAAAGAATAATAGAGAGCTTTAAATCTTAATAAATGACACAATGAATGCTCTAATGTTCAATAAACATTTTCATTAATTGCTTCTATTCCTATTTTCTAAGCAGCTCTGCTATTTCCAGATTCCTGAGTGGTTTTGGATCATGTTCCTCCAACGTCTGAGCTGTCACCATCAAACATTTATTGAGTACTATTGTGTACAAGGCACCAAATTATTTGAGTTCTGAAACCAATCAAGGACTATTTTATAGAAGTGAATAACCATGCCTAATTTGTACATAGATCTCCTCTCCTTTCTCCCAACCTAAGTCACTTACTTTTGGCTGCTGAAATATCTTAGGGAGTCTTTAATCCTTGCTTTCTGGGCAAGGGAATGATTAGGAAAATTGGCTCTTAAAAAATTCACTGATGCCACATTACTAACTGCATTTGATACCATAGCCAGCAATTTCTAGTGGGACACTAGTGGGAGAAATTTTGGGCCAGTGTCAAATATGAAGAACTGAGGATGGAAATGTAACTTTTACTGATCTTGTCAATAGCCTCAAGACCGTAATGCATTCAAAGATAATCCTCTCATTACTCTGAGCTCTCAATACACATACAGTAGGTGGGCTTTAGGTCTGGAACTATTATCAGGATTGTACAGTTAGGACAGGCTTTGTTATGCTGTCATAAAAAAGTAAGCCAAAAATCTCAGTTGACTTTGCACAATAAAAGTTTATTTCTTGCCCAGGAGATTTCTAATGCAAGTCAGATAACATTCCAAGAGAGTTATCCTCCATGCAGTGACTCAGTAATCCAGATTGTTTTGATCTATGAAACTGCCATATCAACATGTTAAGTTCCAGATCACCACAATAAGGGAAGAAAAGTGGAAAATCACTTACCAGGTCTTAAATGCTTTGGCCCAGAAGTGACAATGGTCTTACAGCTCATTGGCCAGAACTAGTAACATGGCCCAACTGCAAAGGCTCTGTGAAATGTACAATAATGCTAACAGGTAGGCATTAATCTCACTTTAGAGATGATGAAAATTGAAGTATAGAAAGATAAGTAACTTTTCCAAAGTCACAAAGAGGTTGGCTCAGGGGTTAACCCCAGGTAACATGGCTCTACAATACACACTCCTAACCATGACAGTGGGCCATTTGGGTAGTGCTAGTATTAATCCTTTGTGGCACTTTAATTATTGAATTTTTCTTAGTTTTTCCATTTGTAAATTATAAATAAGAATATCAATCTAGTGTAACTTATTGATTACAAATAAAGATACATATTGTGCAGATAGAACTGTTACCACTTGAAGCACCACTAGATGCCAAGGATATTATATTTTTTATCTATGATTATCCTCATAACACCCCAATGATGATGAGGATGATGATGAAGAGGAAGAAGATGATGATATGGCAATGAGGATGATGAGGAGAATGACATTTGATGGTTATTGAAGACTTAATAGCATGCTCTGAAATAAGCACTTAACATTAATTATCCCATTTAATCCTCATTACAATTCTGTGCTCAAGGTTATATTCCACATTTACAGAGGAAGAAAATGATGTTCAGAAGGCTTTAAGTTATTTTCCCAAGGTCCATAGAGCTGGGGCTCAAAACCTGAATTCATTTTATTACACTGCTTTGTCCCTCATCAAATGAGTTATTAAATGTAGAAGTATTAAAAAATAAAGCACTATGACAAATCAGATTATTATTACTTACTAAACTATTAAAAAATCTATGATAGCAGTCCTGTTTTCTCTTTATGTCTCTAACATTTTTCTCTCTTATTGCAAAGTGCTTTGCCTTAACCTCTAGTCTATTTGATAAATAAATGACAGTAGAAGTTTCTCGAAGATCATGACTGGATTTTGGCTTAGTCTATAGTTCCCACAGCATGCGACAGTCAGAATTAAATTTCAGTTCTGAATAGAAATAGAAAGTTTTGGTAACAGTATCATGCCATTATAT